>NC_000004.12:81800168-81951684 GCF_000001405.40 Homo sapiens
GGGTCTGGGTCAAACAGAAGTGAGTTGGGATAGGGTTGGCCAGGGTTCCACATGATTTTCTTTAATGCCATCCAGCATGTATGGTTTATATCAATGGTCCCCAACCTTTTTGGCACCAGGGACCAGTTTCGTGGAAGACAATTTTTCCACGGACCAGGGTGTGGGGAGGAATGGTTTCAGGATGATTCAAGTGCATTACATTTATAATGCACTTTATTTCTATTATTTTTGTATTGTAATATATAATGAAACAGTTATGCAACTCAACATGGTGTAGAATCAATGAGAGCCCTGGGCTTGTTTTCCTGCAACTAGATGGTCCCATCTGGAGGTGATGGGAGACAGTGACACCCGAAGTATGTTGCTTATGTCCAGTCTACTCCGTAATCTCGTTCTGGTTGCTGTCACTGCAGAAAACCCTGCTTCACAAAGATAGGTTGTTGGAAATAGAAGCAGGCTTTCCAGTACTTTTGTGGTGATCTCAGAATATCCCATCTTGACTTGAATTCAGAATGTATGGAGATTTGAAGCTGTCTCAAACATACTTTTAAGGCCACCAGACGCAGCTGTACAATTGAAACACATCATCCTGCGTGCCACTATAAAGCCTGCCACCAGCTTGTCACTTGCCACTCACTGATAGGGTTTTGATATGAGTTTGCAAGCACTTGATTTATGATGGTCTCTGTACAGTCAAACCTCTCAGCTAATGTTAATCTGTACTTGCAGCCACTCCCCAGTGCTAGCATCACCACCTCAGCTCCATCTCAGATCATCAGGCATTAGATTGTCATAAGGAGCTCACAACCTAAATCCTTCACATGCACAGTTCACAATAAGGTTTGTGCTCCTATAGGAATCTAATGCTGCCACTGATGTGACAGGAGGTAGAGCTCATGTGGTAATCCGAGTGAGGATTAGCTGTAAATACAGATGAAGCTTCATTCACTCACCCACTGCTCATCTCTTACCATGTGGCCTGGTTCCTAACAGGCCACGGACCAATACCGATCCATGGCCTGGGGGTTGGGGGACCCCTGGTTTATATGACAGATGAATCAGTTTAATTCCAAGAACTGAAAATGAGGTTGACAGTTACCCATTGAAATACCGGTGATGCCAGAAATGCAACCACAGGCATCTCAAGTCTCCCCAGGCTTACCTGAGCTGTTCTCTCCATGTGAAATGGTATTTCCTCTCCCCACCAAGTCACCCTCCACAGCACATCTTCCATACCCTTTGGGTAGTTTTTTTGCTGCAAATGTTACTTCCTTTACTGGACTGTGAGCCTCTTGCAGACAGCAATTTTGTCTTACACGTTTTTGTGTTCACAGTGCTTGGCACATGACAGGTGCTCATGAAGTTTAGGTGAATGAGTGCTGCAGAAACAAAATACATGTCCAATTGTTCTGGGAAACAAAGGACAGAAAGCAGTTTGGAGAGTGGTGGAAGTCTCTGCTGCCAAGGTAACATGTGATAGGGGCCTGCTGAAGCACTTCCTGGCAAAGTTGGAGGGAAAGGTAGAAGGAACAACATGTTGGAAGACACAGAGCAGTAAGAGATCTCAGCTAATTCAAGTGGCTTGGCACTACCAGTATTATTGCTCCTCTTTCCCCTTTACTCTAAGCTCCTAAAGCTAGCTAAGCTTTTGGTATTTGTCTACCTTACGGTGGCAAGCTTTTTTGCATAAAAGTATCCTCCCCCACAGGTGATTCAAGAAATTCAACTATTCTCCTTCTTTACCCCTAAAGCACATTTCATGACAGAATATTCTTTCTCAAATAATTTTCAGACTCATTTTTTATATCCTGCTTATCTTTGGCTGTTTCCTATGCCAGATACAGTTCTTTGTTCTGAAATGAAAAATATAGGCCTACAGATAACCTCATTCTCCCTTGCCAAGTCCTAAACCTATCTGTGAATAAATTTCTTTAAATACCACATCTTCTTCCATCTAGATGACCCATTATTTTTCCAATCTCTCTAGAAGCTAGTGTTTTGGTAAACAAAACAGAAGAATAGAAGGTTCTAAAAGTCCTGATCCAATTTCCCTTGATTAGCTCATGCATGCAATAAACGTAAGCAGAGTGTTGACAGCGTGCAAAGGAGGCTCTAGTGGGTTTACAGTTCTTTAGCATGTAAATTTTTGGCAAATGCTTCAAGGTCAGACTTTTAAATACTTTATTAACACAGCTGTGAGCATTTCCACACATTCACCCAATTTTACAGGGGCTGCTCTTCTTTTCCAATGCACATTTTGTATAACATTGTATGGCAGCAACAGGGGTTTTTCCCATTGCCTCATTATTGGAGGACAAATCTTCAGACTGAAAGTGCAAACGATACCCTTATTACTTGGAAGTCCCAAAACTGTATGTACATAGTCCTTTTGTTTATCACACGAACAAATTCCTAACCAACCCTTGCAGCTGCAGTAGCAGCAGGGGTTCAAAACAGTCTGCGTGCTGTTTCACCAGTGTTTTGCACTTTGTATTTTGTACCCTCCTATTTGTGTGCCCTACAGTCTTCAAATTAACCTAAATTACACAATCGTCAGATAAAAATTGTGCATTCACTTATTCATTCAGCAATCATTCATCTAGAGATTGCTTTGTATCCTCATGTGATTATGTTATACCTTGGTTCCCTTCATCCGTTTA
Organism: Homo sapiens; assembly: GCF_000001405.40. Taxonomy (NCBI): domain Eukaryota; kingdom Metazoa; phylum Chordata; class Mammalia; order Primates; family Hominidae; genus Homo; species Homo sapiens. The sequence goes on from NC_000004.12 coordinate 81,802,829, forward strand.
TTCATCATTCAACAGGCATTCATCAAAAACCTGCTCCGTTCCAGGGTCTGGTCTGAGTATGCTGGGAAGACAGAAATAAGAGTATTGCCATTCCTGCTCTTGAATAGTTAGCAGTATATAGGGTTTATCATAGTGTAATTCGTGAAGAGGGGCACTGCCTCAGCTTCTCTCATTAGAAAGGGATGAAACATCACAACAAATTTTCCCCAATTGGCTCTTTCTGCCCTGTTCTTCCCTTCACAAAACCGTAACAACTTTTTAAATCTTCCCCTCCTGTCCTCCCATAGATCTCACAGAAAGTCTTCTTTCTGCCTCCTCCTTTTTCTCCTCTTCCCCACCCTCACTGGAGGCAACCACATTAGTGCCCCTCCAGCAGATATACAGGTAACCCTCACAAAAAACTGTATATTGAGCCTAAATGCTATTACAATCATTTGCCACATAAGAAAATAGATGCTGAAATTAAGATACTTCCTCCAAACCACACAAGTCCATGATGAAACCAGATCCAAGGTCTTGATCTTGATCTTTTTACTACATCATGGTGACTCAAACATGATTTCCCTTGATCAATCAATATTAGTTTGAGAGAGCATACATAGTTACAAGTAGCTAATTTTCATAGAATCAATCTGATTTCAGTCTTTTTCTCTGGAATTGTCTATTCCTTCACATAAAGTATATATATTTTTAAAATTCTGCTACAAATAGCAATAAAACATTAAGCCAAACTGGCAGGTTTTCCTGACTGGGCCATGAATTTGCCTGGTATTCGCTGATCCCACTAGAAGGGGTTTGCAGACAAAAGGCAATTTTTTAAATGCTGAGGTAGCAAGCTTGGTTTCAAGGATGTTGAATGGGTTGTTCAATAAGTGCACTAGCTTCCTTTTTTATGAATGGAGATCAAGTTAAGAATCTATAAACACTCTGGCTCTCTCAATCCTTTCGATCCAGACATTGTTGAAATGAACATTACAGAGATAAGGAGCAATGAAAACAGAATGAATTTCCTCTACCAGCTGATTGGTGTCTGGAGGAACAAAAAGACCAAAATTTTACTTAATTCACCCTCACACTTTTCTAGAACTGGAAGTCTTGTGAGCACTGACTTTGGATAGGTTATCAGAACATCCTAGCTAGTCAAGATTAGGATTCCCAGGCTCCCTGTTTATGAAACTGGACCACTGACCATCTGAGCATATATATTTAAAAACCAAGACACCTAAAAGCTGTTTTTGGATGAAAGAGAGGGTATAAATTTTGGTGCAAGGGAGTTCAGGAGAAAAGAACAATATGGACAAGGAAGGAGCAGACAAGCATAATGGTGGGGAATGCTATGGCAAATATCTTTCCTCTTAGATTTGAAAACAGGTCTTGAGACCCACTGGGGAGGGTGGTAAGAACAGACACTGACAGCACTGTGTTCACGAAGGAGTTTGTGAAACTCTGAGCACAAGCAGTGCTGGTTTGAGGCCTGAAGGCCCAAGTTCTTGGTAGAGCTGGTGAGCAGCGTGTTCTCCCATTTCATCACTGAAGCACAGCAGCACTTTGCAGGATTACAGAGCACAGCCATGCAGTGGTGGTGCGCACCCACCCACCAGACCAACAGGGGAGCAGTATTTTCACAGAAAGCCAAAGGCCAAGGCAGTGACAATCTTCTTTCAGGTAATTTTAGTTAGCAGATTTCCATGAGGAAACCTGAGAAGTAGATGTGAAAAACTCTTGGAGGCTTCCAGAAATACATGATGTGAGAAACATGGCCAAGAACAGAGTTGACTACTTCAGCAGGTGGGTGCTAGGAGTTGGCAAAATATAATATTCTTGATATTTTTGTGAGAGCCCGGTGAGACCTGGGACACTCAGGTAAAACACATTGGATAAAGCCAGAAATTCCATAGTTGATTATTTTATAAATTAACAGGAAGAATTCAACTCAAATAAAAGAATAGTGAATGAAAGGAGTAAATGTAGTCCTGCTTAATAGCACAAAGATTCTGGGTTCTGACCTTCCTCTCAATCAGGCTGCCTTAAGAAATTAAAGGTCACTCTTCAATATTTCTTTGGACACATTTATCCACCCCTTCTGCCTTTAAGTAAGATTAATCCAACTGTATCACACAAAACCAAAGCTGCATTTGTAAAAGCTCCAGGCAGACCACAGTCCAGCAGAAGTCACTTGATAGACCAGCACCATCTGCTTCTTTACCTTTGTTTAGCTCCATCCCCGGGACTCCCAGGCCCTTGGCACAGACAGAAGACCAGAATCCCAGCCAGGATTCCTCAGATACTTTGACCTTGGAGCTAAATCCAATCAATCCAGTGCTTAATGAGAATAAACTTGAGGATAGATGTGGCACTCTGACTGCTTCCTTCCCCAAGGAAATCCTTGAATGGGCAAAGGATGAGGTAAAATTCCAGTCACCCTGCCTGGGCACAAGGTCAGTGCTGCTGGCCCCTAGAGCTTATGAAGAAGCCAGCTCCAAAGAAGAGGGAATGCAGTGTCCTGCTTTCTCCCAAGGGGTCTCTGAACAAACAGGCAGCTTATCTGTAAGGAGTGTTCCTGTAGAAGTTCTAGAATCACTGTTCAGTTAGGACAGGGACTCCCAGGCTCTCACTGATAATGTCTAGAGCATGCAAGGGGAGCTGGTGGTCTTTCAAGAGCTGAGGGCAGATCCAGTCCAAGAGGTACTGGTAACCATTGAGGAGGTGCAGCTCAATCAAAACCCCCAAGAAAAAGGACCAGGAAGCCAACACACCCCACAGAACCCTCAGCAGATTTTGCCTTCCCCTTCCCTGAATGGAGGAGAGCATCCTAGAAGTGGAAATAGCTCATGCCAACAAGGGGCTCTGGTCAAAAAGATTCTTTATCCGGGTTCTATGAACCACAGTGGAGAACGGGGCAAAACTTATTATAATTGGTATAGAGCTTGCAACCTCACAGAGCTCTAGATTATAGTACTTATCTCTTACAGGCTATGAAAAGAAGTGATACACCATTTTGGAAAAAAATTAGAAAGGCTCTACTAAAGCTAAACATAAATATCTATGCCAGATGACCCAGAAATTCCACTCCTGTACAAATGCCCAAGTGAAAGTGTGCTTGTGGCCACCAAAAGAAAAGTACAAGAATAATCATCGTAGTGTTATTTACAATAGCCTCATGAGAAGCAACTAAAAAGTATACCAACAGTTGAATGGATTAATAATTGTGGTATGCTCTGGCAAAAGAATACTGAACAGCCCTGGAAAGAAAAACAACCATTGCTACATGCAAGACCATAGAGACTCTCACAGGCATAATGTTGGACAAAAGAAGTCAGAAGCAAAAAAGTAATTATGGTATGATTCTATTTATTTAAAGTTCAAAAGCAGGCAAAATTAATCTATGGTGATAAGAGGTCCGAAAAGTGGTTGTCTTACTGGGGGGCACGAAGGAGTCTGCCACGGTACTTGGAAAGTTCTAGATCAGATATGGATGGTGAATACATGGGAATATACAAAATGTATTGAGCTAGTATACTTAAAAGCTGTATATTTTCTAAGTGTAGGTTATACTTTAATTTAAAGAAAAAAGAGATGTAAATTTTTTAAAATAAGATAATTATGAGTATACCTATCAACATATAAAACTGACTGGAAACCAAAGAAGAAAGCCAACTAAGTTTTTGAGAGAGCTAGAGAGCCTAAGATGAAATGGACTGTGGCTGTTCAATGAGCAGGGAGTAGGCTAGGAAAGTAGCTCCTCCCCTAGGAAGGGCATATTCTCCAGTGCCATCTTCACATGTGGCCAAGGAGAAGAATAGTAAGAGCAAGCCCTCTCAGAGGAAGAACCAGTGGCCTGGGAAATTATCTCCTGGAAACAGAAGTGAGACCTAATCAAGGGTCATTGGCCTGCACAGGTATCAGGACTGTACAACCAGCAGCTGCTGCAAATGTCTAAATTTCCCCTTTCTGATGGGAGTAATTCCACCATTATATGTAGCATGTATGCGGGGTAATTTGCCATGGAGAGGGTAGGTAGATCTGTCTCCCTCTCCAGAGAAGCTACATCCAGAAATGATGTAGATACTCTCATAAGGTCCTGGTCTTTGGGTTCGATGTCATGACTGGATAGTAACTCTATGAGGTGGATACTATTATTATCTCCATTTTAAGAATGAAGAGATGAAGGCTCAGAGAGGTTTAGTAATTTCACCCAGCATTACAGAGCTAATAAGTGCTGGAGGCAGCATTTTATACAGGCAGTTTGGCTGCAGAGTCATCTAGTGGTTATAGAAGAATTGGAAATTTTATCATCTGGTGCTTTAAATAATAATATTATAGATTATGTAACAATTAAATATTAAAATTAACATTACATAATATATTAATATTAATAAATATTACATAACTTATGTTCACCAGTAAATACATAACTAATAACCCCATTTGATGTGTGAAAGTACATCATCATGTTCTTTAGAAGCTTCAAAGATTTTTAAAAATACTTGAGAGCTAGGAGAATCACTGAGGAAATGATCATAAAAAGAAATCTGCCCACCAAGATGAAGAGTGGCCCAGGATTAAGGCCAGAGGAAGAAAGCCAGACGCCCTGGGGTGGATAGGACTAGAAGCTTCACAGCCCTCGTTGCAGTCCTGTGACTTCTTTCCCAGTACAACTCTGTAAGGAAGATGAGCACGTTCTCTGTCCTTTCTGAGTAAACCAAAGCACAACATCCAAAGGGCATCCCTTGCAGCAACAGAAGCAGTGCTTCCTTCTGCATGGAAGCACAACGAGGGCATGCAAAACATTTGCAAACCTACACGATGCTTCCTCTGAGACACCTCGCAACAGCACTTGTAACAACTGAGTCCCAAATCACGTTAAGAGGTAATAAGAGAATACCTCCCTCAAAACACCAGATCACCTTGAAAACACTAGAGAGCCTCAAGATCTCTTCCTACCTGAACAATCTTGAGATTTCCAGAGCTAATGCACAATGACAGGCGCTGATTCAGCAAGGAGTGCCACCTTTGTTAGACACCTTCTCCTTGCTCTAGGTGCTGACTTTCATGGCGCTCCAAAAGAAATGTAAAACAGTACTTTCGTTTTCATCCTTTTTCCACCTCTAGGGCTGCATGGAAGAAAATACTTTGCCAGGAACATCTTTGCAAAGAACACCAAGTGGAAACAGATTCCTCATCAAAAGGACATGGCACCTGTCTTTCCCATGGAGACAGGTGGATGCTTGTGGCAGGATTTGGGGAAGCAGCAGGTCGCTGGCAAGGGCCCTCTGCAGTTCTTTCCACAGGCAACTCTGTTCAGGTGCTTTTGTGGCAAGCTGCCAGCCCAAAGGGCTAATTAATTGAAGGGCTCTCTGTGCTAGAGATATTGGCCATTTTGACATCTCAGTTGGACACTTGAGCTCATGAAGGTTCAGCTTTGGAAGAGCAGCTCTGCCTTTATCACTTTTGATCTCCCCAGTGGGAAAAGCTAAGTGCCCAGAGTTACAATAATCATGTTAAGCACCAGTTTCCTTTGCCAAAAAAACAGTGCACTCGTTTCTTTATCCTTCCCTTGAGGAAAACTCCCACTGAGTCATTTACTGGGTTCTCTGCTTATCTTGCAGTTCTACACCAGCAGCACTATTTTTTTTTTCAACATATGTAGGCAGTCTGCATGGTCTGTGGTTTTAAAAGAGCATTAAATTTAGGCTCAACCCCAAACAGAGCAGGACAGAGCTCAAGACCTTTTGTGACAATATTTAAAGCATTAGCAACTTGGTGACTTATTCCACTCATTTCCATGGGGCAGGCAAGTCTTTAAGAAGACCTCCCTCAAGCCCCTGACTCAGAATATAAATAGTCCACCAAGCAGCCAAAACCTATTCAGTAAACCAGGAATGCATTTAGATGGTGTCCCAGTAAGAGTTTAAATGAAACAGGTAGAACAAGTTAGTGGCTCTCCCAGGGAGGGTTATTCACAACCTTTTCTCTGCTATCAAAGCATTTTATTTATACATTTATTATAGAGTTTACCCTATTGTGATTCATTGATCCAAGTAGCCTCATCTCCCCTAAAGTAAACCATGAGCGCATTTATGACAGGGAGTCATTTGTCTTTTATCTTCCAAATAATCCATGAGAGGCCATCAATATGTATTAATTAATTAATTTATGAAGTCTAGATGAATCCAAACCATCCTCTCAGCCAGAGCCTAAAGAAGATTTGAATAAATTTGGTGTATCTGTGAGGGGTCAGGTGGGGACATGAAAACAACTTATACCTTATTACTTGATGTATTAAATCAAAAACAAAGGAAGAAAGGAAAGAGTGAGTAGAAAAAGCTCAATAGAGAAATGAAGAAAAAGCAAAAAAGAAAGAAAAGAGAAAAAATAAATTGAAGTTATTGAGATGCACAACGTAGAAATTGTAATTGCAAAAATACCTTGTAATAGGTTATATCTATTTTAAAAAGCCAAATGCAGACTCTTTCCCCAACACAATGAACATTTTGTGGTCAAAGCCACAGTAACAGTGAAACGATAAAATGCTAAATCTTTTTGTTAATACTTGAAATTAATGTTTTTAAGCAACTACAATCTCCATAAATATAAGCAGGCTTCTGGCGTCACACTAAATTTGCCTAATCTGACACTTATCTTTGCTTGAGCTAAGTAGAAATATAAAACTTAAACTATCAAAAACAGTTTACATAAGAATTTGGTAATAGGTTCAGAGCTTGTCCAAAATGAGGGTAGAACTTAAGGATCTCTGGAGGCTTCAACTTTACAAAATGTCACAAAATATGCCTCTAGCTGCCCAGACTTTTAAAATAAAATAGTAAAATTAAAAATGCTTTTGTGACTTTAGGGTATGTCCTGAAATCCTCCACCTTTTTGATACTGTTATTGTTACTGACAGAATTAAGAAAAGGCAACACGAAATATAGCCCAAGCGGGAAACATCACATACAGTTCAGAGTATACTTTTGCCAATGCATTTTACTGGAGTCAGATAACACTTTTAAAATATCATTACTTAATCTAACAGGGCCCGCCCATTTTCTATACATATTTCAGCAACCCCATATTCTCAAAACACTTTGCAATTGCCCATTACCCAATTTATTATCAATATTTGAAGACCAACAGTATGCAAAATGTGATATATGTTAAATACTTTGCATGCTTTTCCATAACAAAGGCCCAGTCTCTATGGGAGCTTTGTAAGACAGTATATTGAAATGGCACACATGGAGCTCTATAAAATACTGTATATTTTTCTTCAAAAATTGTTTTCAGTCCGGGTGTGGTGGCTTACACTTGTAATCCCAACACTTTGGGAGTTGGGTGGGTCATTTGAGACCAGGAGTTTGGAGACCAGCCTGGCCAACATGGTGAAATGTCGTCACTAAAAATACAAAAAATTAGCCAGGTGTGGTGACACACACCTGTAATCCAAGCTAGTCAGGAGGCTAAGGCAGGAGAATCACTTGAACCCAGGAGGCAGAGGTTGCAGCAAGCTGAGATCGCGCCCCTGCACTCCAGCCTGGTGACAGAGTGAGACTGTCTCAAAAAAAAAAAAAAAAAAAACTCCAGGCAAAATGCACGACCTAACAAAATAAAATAATGCCATGATAGGCAAAAATCTCAGCCCTCACCACTTTCACCAGATTCAGCCATAAAGTTGGACATTTGGTTTCTAATAAGCAAATCCCATCTCACAATACCAGGCACTTCCTTCAATCTGCCTGAGCAAAAGAAAAAAGAAAAGGGACTAACCTGAGCAAACCTCTCCCAGGCGGTGTTTGATTCAATTCCTGCCACATAACATATATTTCAAAATGAATTAATAAGTAATATTAATATAATTAATGAGTATTCACTAATGAGTTGATCAATAAGCAATGAAGAGCTCTCATATTGACTTGGAATGCTATTAACCATAAGTGAAAACTACTTTTGTTACCCTCTTGTGTTCTTTACAAGTGGTTAAAAAAATAACGTGAACTCTGGAGTCAGACAGACTAGATTTGAATCTGGGCAGTCTGCATCTGCCTACCGAGTGACCTTTAACAGGTTAATTAACCTCTTTGTGCCCCCATTCCATTATCTGAAAATAAAGATGGGAACAGAACATGCCTCATAAGGCTGTTGCAAGTATGAAATATATTAATCCCTAAAAAGAGTCTATTACAGTCACTGACACATAATAAACCTTCAATAAATGTTAGCCTTTATTATTTTTATCCACCCAGCCACACTGGCCTCCTTACTCTTCTGTATATGCCCCAGGCACATTCTGGTCTTAGTGTTTTGCACTGGTTGTTCCCACTGCCTGGAGTGCTCTTCCTCCAAAGATCTGTGTAACTAGCTCTCCATCCCATTTGACCAAATGATACCTTCTCAATGACCACCCTATTTAAAACTGTAACATGTGCCTCCCCAAGAGCCTCCAAATCTCCTATTTTTTCTCTTCACATTCTAAGATACTATGTAATTAATTAATTTGTGTTTTGTATATTATGTCTCACCTGCCAATAGAATATATTCTGAGGTGAAAGGATTTTTTTTTTATCTCTTTTAGTCACTGATGTGAACTGGTACTTGAACACAGTAGCTCCTCAAAAAATATACACTGAAAGCCAGCTCGGTGACATGCATGTAGACTCAGCTACTCAGGAGGCTGAGACTGGAGGATGGCTTGAGCCAAGGAGTCTGAGGCCAGCCTGGGCAACATACTCCATCTCTTAAACACACACACACACACACACACACACACACACTCACACACACACCCTGCTAAAGGAATTACTGGCACTACTGTTACCACCACCACTATTTTCCATCATAGCAAGTAATGAAACCATAGAGTTTTAGAACTAGACATGACCACAGAGGTCAACTCTATGGAGTTGGACAACTCCTTTTGTAAACACAGAAATAGCCCTCTCCCTGAAACACTGCATCCTGTTGACTCTGCCTTACCTGAGCCTGCAAGAGAATTCACAGGACCAGGTGCACAGTCCGTGGCAGGTAAGTCTGGGTCTCATGGTGCACCCACCATACTGGCTGCTTAGTCTAACAGCTCTGAGGTCACCATTACATAGCTGTTCTATCTAGTGATTAACATGAGCAATGATTTAGGAGATTATAGCAATCATCAAAGGGTGGAATTAAAATAATAAAGAAAAACAATAAACAGGAGGAGAAAAGGAGGGATTGCTTTTGCTCCACAGATCATTTATGTAAATAAAAGAAAAATCACAGCGCTAAGCCACTAAATCAGAGGTTGCAATTAGCTCAATTGTAGAGTGATTTGGTGCCATTTTGAGCAACAATAGCCAGAGTGATCACTCTTAACTGAGGTAAATTAAGTATTCTGATTACTCCACTTTTATGAAAAAGAGTTGCCGGCCATTACAGAGATCTAATTTACACGAACTCTGCTCCATTTCTCATACTGACTCATCTTTTACGTTTTTTTCTGCTTCTTTTCACATCTAGCACATTTTGCTGTAGACTAAGAAAATAAGGGTTCTGCATCCACAGATTCCATCAACAGTAGATTGAAAACACAGTATTTGAGGGATGTAGAACCCCTGGATTCTAAAGATCAATTTTCATAGCCATGGTTTCCTCAGGGTGGACTGTGGAACTTGAACCTCAGTGAATTTTGATATCTACAGAGGTCCTGCAACCAATACTGAGGAATGACTGTATCTCTATGAAAGCTCACCCTCCAGAATACATTATGTAAAATTAAATGCATGCATGTGTATACGTGCACATACTTTAATAACTACTGCCCAGTCTTGATTATGTAAGATTCTGGAAAATCTGAAAGGAAAATAGGTAAAAGGAAGGAGAAAAAGTTGCTACAGTGCCCTTGAAGCTCAATAATATAGCAACCAAGCAGAAAAACTCTAGAATCACAAGGGAAAGACAATTTACAGCCAAAAGCACACCATAATATCTTTAGTACTTAACAAAGAAATGAGTGAAATCAAGTTAGTGATTACACAGCTGAACTTGGTAGTTTGCAGCATTTGCTCACAACAACAACAAAAAAAAATGCAAGAAAAAGTACTATTATTAAATGCCCTTTGCATGCACAGTTTGCAAGATTAGCAAGACTCTTATTTCTGTTCCCCCTTTAAACTATTTGGCTGTCTGGAATTGCTATGAGAAAAACCTGTGTTTTATTGGTAGCTTAAAATAGCTTTTTTAAGGTGTATGTGTGGGGAAGGGGGGGTTGTACTGCTAATTATTACTGTTTCCAATATATCCCTGAACCAGAGACTACAAAGGTCATATTCTTGAAACTTGTTTTCAGGCAGATGCAGCCACAATAATTACAGCTCAAAGAGGATAAGAGCAACATATTCCATGACATTTGCCCTTAACTACCTTTCTTATTAGCAATGATACTGCTACAGACAATGACTATATTATACATCCATGTATCTAAATGTGCTGTTTATTCTGAAGTGACAGTGACAATTATAGCAGCTGCCAGGAAGGAATAATGGGTATACTCCAGCATTGGCAGTGGTGTGGTTAGCAGTAATGCCAATTCACAAAAAATCCCACACCCCAAAAGGCACCAGGTAATGCTACTGATGTGATTCTATTGCTAAAATTTAAAAATTGAAGTCATTAAACTGTACACTTAAGATCACTACATTTTACTGAATGTAAATTATACCTTAACAAAATATGATTATTATTTATTTCTTGATTCTGGCTTAGGGTAAGTGTTACACATAAAAACGCAATGCATTTCTTCTGGCCATGAGACTATTTTCCACAATGAATTCTAATCCTATGAACTATGACTACTTGGTTTGACCTTGGGTATATGTGACTTTCCATATGAAAATTTCATTATCATACGCTTAAGAATAAAAAATTCCTAGCCTAGAGATGTAATGCTATCACACGGAGGAACTCACCAGTATTCACTCTACTCAATTATCTCCATGGCTTCTACACTGCAAGCAAAAAAGTGCACATTTCCATAGCACTTCATATTCATCAGCCCAAACCATCCATATGTTGAAATGCTTCCTTTCAATCCAAAGAAAAGCCCACAAATACACTCCACCCACAGTATTGACTCTACCTAGCCCATACCACATTAATAAATGACACCTCCTCTAAAATATTATAATGCTAATGGTGAAAAGAGATGAACATTTAGAAAAAGCAATGGATATTTATATGAGGGAGAGGAATATTTTGTATTTTATTCTGTACCTCTAAGCAGGTAATAAGGTACTTTTTTCCTACCTGTGAATGTTCCAGGTGCTGGCATATGAAGACATACCAAGAGGGGACTCTTCCCCTTCCTTTCTTTTCTACCTCAAGCCTTACTCTGGAGGCCTTTGGAGAAATAATATCATGCCAAAGTTAGGAATTAACAAGCATTATTGAATGTCTACTATGTGCTCATAATTGTGTTAGGTGTTGGAGATACAGAAAAGTAGATTCATTGTACAGTACTGTTTAGAAGGTTTTATGCTTCATTTATTAAGAAATGCATTGCTTCTATAGAACTAGAACTTATAACAAAACTGAACTTGAGTCTATTTCAATTATTAAGAATTATCTTAAGATTTAAAGAACCATCTGAGGGTATTTATCCAGTGCAACTACAGTCCAAGTTTTTTCCAAATGCTAATGTTGGCCCAAGTCTACTGATGTACTTTCCTTGATATTGTTGCTCTGTTAGAGCAAAAAGATAAAGTTGGTCTCAAAGCTACCAAGGCTCAGACCATTCTCTGTGAGCGCAGGGATGAAATAATAATGACGAACACCCACTGAGACACTGTTGTAAGAGTTTTCCATGGATCCAAACAGAAATTCAATCCTTACAACAATTCTGTAGGTCAATATCATTCTTTGTCTCATTTTACTGATGAAACAAGTGAGGAACAAAGAAGCTAAGTAACATGGCTAGAGTTGTAGAGCTCATGGGTGGTAGAATCTCAGAAATAAAGCCCTCAAGCCTGTGTTCTTAACCCCCACACCATACTGCCTCTCAGGAGAGCAGGATGGAAAAATGCAACAATAAAAACCAAAGCCGGGCAATAAGGCCTGAAAGGAGAGGACATGGAATCCAGAACCACAAATCCTTTTCCCAAACACTGCTAGGAGCTCTTTCTTTGCAGAAACAGTGACAGGAGAAGAGGGAGGAAAGGAGGGATGTGGCGGGGGTGAAGGGAGGGGAGAAGAGTATAGCAACTCCCTTCTCTTAACAGTGATGCAACTTCCCTTCCCATAAATTAGTGGCCTGTATTGGCACATATGAAAAAAGATAGGAACTTTGCAATGTGTATCTAACATCCTGTATCCAGCAGAGAGCCCTACAGCAAGTCAGCAAAAACAGCACTCTGCCAAAAATGAATGTTCACTGCTTCCAAAAATCTATTTTAGAAGTAAACAGTGTTTAAATTTGCTGGAAATGATATTCTTTGCTGTGACTGCTCCAGAACATGGCATTCTGTCATACCAGAGGAGAACTGAGGAATTTCCTCCCGCTGACACGGCTGACTTTGTCTTCATGCCTTTTCTCAGGGCATGGGAAGAAGTCCCTGTGACCTACCAGCCTGAAAATTCTGCCAAGAGGCTGAGAGTCATGGGAATCTGCCCAACCAGCTTTGTGGAGGTCACTGAACACCATCTAGACATTAAAAGAGGAAGCCAGACACAATATAGTTTCAAAGGACTGTGACAGTAAATGTCTTAACCACTGATATTATTACCTTGAGTTGTGATTACCTAGAGACCTATTCATCAACATTGATGAAAAGGTTGAGTCTTCCAATAGCCCATTACATTCTCTATTCTTAGTTACCTCTTCCTGAAGGAAAATTGTCCATGTGAATGAAGCATTACTGATGTCTAGTAAAAATGAAAACTTCATCCAGTGGGCAACGGACCACATGGGCACATTCTCCGCACACTTACACACTCACATCATTAGTAACAGGAAAGGGAACCCAAGTCAAAGCCAACATTTGAAAGGAAGAGATAACACAGCCACCAATAATGCCATTACAGTGGCCAACAGATTTTCTTTAGGAAATCCCAGATATTCTAAAACCAACACTCTTTTACACGATAGGAATACGTTTTCTAAATACTGTCTTTAAATTATTTTTAAAAATCGTCTTTTAAATGAAATTTTTAAGCTATTTTTTAAAAGTTGTCATTTATATGGATTAAGATATCAGAAGTTCACAGAGAGAGAGCAGGGGAAGACACAGAGAGAAACAGAGTCCCCTCCCCCACCAAAAAGGTAAAATAAACCATCAAAATGGTAGCTGAAGTTTAAAAATAAGATTCCAACCTCAGGAACCTATTTCTATGACTACATACAGGGACTCCAGATGGAATTCTAGGTTACCATATGTAGACAGAAATTACAGCAGGATGAAGCACAGCATTTTGATGCCAAACTGGAAACACCACTATTTTTTTCATTTCAAGTAATTTGTGAAACAGACATCCCTAAACTTTAATCCATCCCTGGGATTCATCCTTTCCATGACCCTCACCCCATCTATCACACTTACCTGTCTATCACTCCTATCCTACCTCTAAAATATGCCCTAGGGGTGGGAGTCACAAGACCTCGGAGAAGGGGTGAGGATATCCTTTTTGCACCTTCTCTGTACTTTCAAATAATTAAAACATTGGAGGTTCAACAGTGCTATGTCAGAATGTTCCTGCACAAAAATTGCTGAGTCAAAATAACTGGGTCCAAAAGTCCCGCACCAAGAGATGTAAAAATATCAAGATACAAAGATATAAACATCAGTAACATAAAACAGGAGGCATGAGACACTATGGAGCAGACTTGAGGAGCAATCTCTGGTGCTCATCAACGCAACACACATCTTCTAGATGTGAGTTTTAGTTAAACAGCATAGGATGCAGAGGTTGTACAGGGAATAAATGAGAAAATAGGAATTAGGCTTATCCTCTAAGAGTCTGACTAAAGCTTATTATGTGCCCTGGAATAAGTCATTTCATGTTTCAGCACATTAGTTTTTTCCTCTGCAACATGTTAACAATAACGACTGTCTTGTAATGGGAGGCACTTAATAAATAATTATTAATGAATGAGTAAATTCATGTATGTCCCCTAGATGTTCCTAGGTTTTCCAAATTAAGGAATAAACTGGTCTTTGACTGAAAATAACAACAAGGGTTCTTATAACTCTCTAAAGTGGTGTTTGGAGGCAGGCCTTGGGGATTTGCTACCTCAGGCCAAACAAAACACTTCAATCTCCCCAGCTATCCATTAACACCTTATTTCAGTGTGGAAATTCCCTTCACGAGTAAATGCTGAGTATAAATAGTCTTTTCTCAACTCCTAGGAAAAGGGAAAAAAAGATTTTTCTAATAACAAACAAAATGATATTAGAATAATCTCATACTAATTGATAATCAAGTATATAGCAAGATTGTTTCTAATAACAAAATGATATTAGAATAATCTCATACCAATTGATAATCATGTATATAGCAGGATTGTTTCTAATAACAAACAAAATGATATTAGAATAATCGCACACCAATTGATAATCATGTGTATAGCAAATCCATTCATTAAATAAATGTTTACTGAGTTCTTACTACCTGTGAGGTATTGTTTTACTATACCTAACAGAATCAGTCATTGTTCCTTTCCTCTAAGAGCTGATTTTAGGGGGAAGCCAGATCCATAAATATTTAAAATCCAAAGGGGAAAGGAGGTAGCAAAACACTAAAAGCAATGTTTCTGGCGTCAGACTGCCTGGATTCACATCATGGCTCCAACACTTAATACTGGAGTGTCCTCAAGCAAGTTCCATAATGTTTGAAGGTCCCAACTGCTTTATCTGTAAAATGGTAATAGTAATTGCCTACCTTAAAGGGTTGTTAGAAAAATCAAATTAAATAGTCCATGTAAAGCACTTCTCACAGGGCTGGGGATGTGGTAAACTTTAGACAAAGTGTGTGATTGTTGTTAGATGTTATATTAAGTACAAAATATTACGAATCCAGTAGGTAAAACCTCTCATCTTTACTGGAGAAATCGAGATAGTCTTTGAAAAGAAAGAGACAATATAAGGGACCTCTCCAGGAAAGTGTAAAAGTTTTCCAGACAGACCAGAGGGAGAGGAAAGCATTCCAGAAAAAAGAAAAAGTTTGTACACCAGGCACAGTTATCCAAGATTTTCACGTTCAGGAGCAGTCTGCTCAAGGCCTTTAGACTCCAGCTTCCAGGGCAGTACCAGGAGATGCGGGTGGAGAGAATGGGAATGACTTCTCAAGTTGAGTTGAGACTGGAGACAACAGGAATGGTAATGACTTCTCAAGAGGAGTTGGGATTTATTTTGAATAAAATTGAAATCCCTCAGGTGTTTCTTAAGTACAGGTTTGTGAACCCAGAAAATCTGAGACAGGTCTCCGTTAACTTAGAAAGTTTATTTTCCTGAGGTTGAGGATGCATGCCTGTGACCCAGCCTCAGGAAGTCCTAAGGACCTGTGCCCAAGGTGGTTGGGATGCAGCCTGGTTTTATACATGTCAGGGAGACATGTGACATCAATCAAGTACATTTAAGAAATACATTGGTTTGAAAGGCGGGACAACTCAAGGGGTGGCAGGGCTTCCAGGCTACAGATAAATTTAAACATTTTCTGACTGACAATTGGTTGAGTTTGTCTAAAGACCTGGGATCAATAGAAAGGAATGTTTGCGTTGCGATAAGAGGTGGGGGAGACCAAAGTTTTATCACGCAGATGAAGCTTTTAGCTAACAGGCTTCAGAGCGAACAGGCTGTAAAATATTTCTGATCAGACTTAAAGTCTGTGTTGACGTTAATGCTGGAGAGGTATAATGAGGCATGTCCCACCCCAGTTCCCTTCATGGCCCGAACCAGTCTTTCAGGTTAAGTTTTAAGAGCTCTGGCTGAGGAGGAAGTCCCTTTAGATGATTGGGGGACCTTAGAATTTTATTTTTGGTTTACAGATTTGACATAAACGGATGTGTTTGTTTGTAGTTTATTTGTTTTCCAGAAAGTAACTTTCATAGTGTTTTGAAAAATGGAGTGGATATGGGAAACGTGGTATAAGAAAAGAGTGAGAAGGGAGTTGTTGGAAACTTCTAAAGGAGAGATGAGGAGGAAAGGGAAGAAATGACAGGAAGATCCCAGGAATGTTTCACAATGGAATTTACGGGATTTGACAGTTAGTTGGATGTGAGAAGTAAAAGAAAGGGAGAAACCAGGGATAATATTAAAGTATGGTGAAGCTGGCTGGGCACGGTGTCTCACGCCTGTAATCCCAGCACTTTGGGAAGCTGAGGCGGGTGGATCACGAGGTCAAGAGATCGAGACCATCCTGGCTAACACGGTGAAACCCCGTCTCTACTAAAAATACAAAAAATTAGCCGGGTGTGGTGGCAGGTGCCTGTAGTCCCAGCCACTCGGGAGCCTGAGGCAGGAGAATGGCGTGAACCCGGGAGGCAGAGCTTGCAGTGAGCCAAGATCGCGCCACTGCACTCCAGCCTGGGTGACAGAGCGAGACTCCGTCTCAAAAAAAAAAGTGTGGTGAAGCCATTAACCAAGGTGGTGAATATAAGAGAAGAATGTTCAGAATGTAGAAAAAATTCATGTACATTGGACACGGTCTGTGGACCGTGGAAAAGACCTCTAGTTAGTCAGCAGCATGGATCCTTGGCTCAGAAGATATTTCATTATTTGTGACACAGACTCTAGAATAATTTTCTTAAGATAGATCTCATTTGAACAAACTAGATTGCCCAGAGATTGCTGATTATGTGAATGGTGCTATCCATATAAAATATTATGGGGGAGTAGCTGTAGACTAAATAAATACTGTGAAAATAGTGTAACTTGACATTAATATTTACCAATGTCCCTCTTGATTTTTCTGCCTATAAAATAGAAAAAATAGTATTTGTGTAAATAACTTTAAACATTTCGTTTTTAAACGTTCTACCTCATGAATGGATAACATAGTTGTGCAGACTCAAAAGAGGTTGAACAATAATCCCACTTCCCTGCAAAAAAAAAAAAAAAGATAAATTGATCAGAGTCATCTGATGGTATGGCCACATTTTGGCTCCCTGCTTCCATAACTCTTTTTTTTTTTTTTTTTTTTTTTTGAGATGGTGTCTCGTTCTGTCACCCAGGCTGGAGTGCAGCAGCCCAATCTTGGCTCACTGCAACCTCTGCCTACTGGGTTCAAGCAATTCTCCTGCCTCAGCCTCCCGAGTAGCTGGGACTACAGGCACGTGCCACCACACCCTGCTAATTTTTTTCTATTTTTAGTAGAGATGGGGTTTCTCCGTGTTAGCCAGGATGGGCTCCATCTCCTGACTTCGTGATCCGCTCGCCTCGGCCTCCCAAAGTGCTGGGATTACAGGCATGAGCCACAGCGCCCAGCCTTCCATATTAACACATGAATTCTATCCCTTCTTCCTTCCTTCCTATTGCAGGGCAAGATGTGTCCCTCCATCCAAGGGATAATTCCATGCTTTAGGATCCAAAGTCTTCAATCCTTTCAATGATGTCACTCAGAGAATATTCCCCACCTTCTTTGTGGATCCTTACCCCTTTCCCTTCCTATTGTTTTCTTTCTTACAGCATTTAAACACACTCTAATGCCTCATTGTAAGATACCATATCTCAACCCATAACCCTACCCAACTACTCAATTCTCTCCTTCCTCTTGCAACAAATTGCTTTTAGAAGACTCTATTTTACCATTTTTATTTCTTTATCCCTACTAAGTCCATCTTGCCCTGCAATAGGAAGGAAGGAAGAAGGGATAGAATTCATGTGAGTAAGAATTGTCAAAGCAGGGAGACTTTTTATTTCTTTATCCCAGCTAAGTCCCAGTCCCACTACAATCTGGCTTCTGTGTCCATCACTTCGATCTCAATAAAACCAAAAAGCCTATGGTATTAAGAAAGCCAACGGATACTTTTCAGTCTTTATTTTACTTAATCACTTAGCAACAGTTTTGATATTTACGACTACCTCTTTTTTTTATAGATAATGTTTTATTGACTTGATTTCTCAGACATCACATTCTTCTGGTGTCTTCCAACCTCCGTGGCCTCTCAGTTTCCCTCTTCCCTCCAAAATCCATAGTCTTCTCCCAGCTCTTACATGTTAACTTTCCTCAAGACTCTTGAAAACCCTCCTCCTTTTTGCCTTACACACCATCTCTGGGTAATCTCATCCATTCCCACTCTTATAATCATTCTCTCTATGCATATTCCTCTCATATCCATATATCCAGCTCAGAATGCTTTCCTCAATTATAAATCAAAATGTCCAGCTGTCTGCTAGTCATCCTTACTAGATCTTACACATACCACCAAAATGACATATACCATTGTGAACTCATCAACTTCTTCCCTAAATATGGTCCTCTGCTAGTGGTTCCTGTCTCAGAAAATAGCACCAATATTCTGACACTAGCCGATGTCAGAAATCTAAGAATTGTCCTTAGCTGCTTCCTTTCCCATAACCAAACTATCATATACTGTTGATTTTGAGAAATACTCAAATGTTTCTTGATTCCCCTCTGCCATTATTCTGATCCTGGCCACTATTATCTCTTGCCTAGATTATAGCAGTAGCCTTATAATTAGACTTCACATCTAAATCCTGCTTCTTCTGTCCTTCAGTAACCAAGTGATCTTAAAAATCATATCATGGCACATACACCGACTTTCCCAAATTCAAGCCCTTTAAAAATTTCTCATTACCCTGAGAATAATTTAAACTCTTAATATAGTTGTACCAGGACCTCATTGCTCATCTTTTCCAATTCAAGTTGTCATTTTTCAGGCACTCTGAATTTTGTATAGTTCTCCCCCTCACCTATAGACATTCACACCTGCTGTTCTGCCACCATGTTGTGCTCATGGAGCCAAATCTCATTCATTCTTTGGATCTCTGCTTGAACATCATTTCTTCAGGGAAATTTTCCCTGACGCCTTGATTAGGTTAGGTTCTCCTGGCATGGGATCCCATGAGCTCTCAACTTAAAAAAAATTATATCATCAATCACAATTTTGCTAATTACTTTATTAATATCTATAAGTTCTATGAGGGTAAAGATCATACATATGTGATTTGTTCATCATGACAGTCCAATGCATGTCACATAGCAGATGTTCTGTGAACACTTGTTAACTGATTAGATGGATAAAATTGAAGTCATAGAAATTGACTATGCTATGTTGATTTGTGCATGACATTGAACTGGGAGAAATAGTGAATAAGCCTAATAACAGAATTGGATAATTCAGAAAATTAATTGATCAAAATTTTTAAAAACCAGTAGGAATAGCTAAATGTCCTATCTTCATATTCAAGGAATCATTTACATAAATATAAAAGAAAGTCCTGTTTTAACAGCAGCTCATGTGAAAATGCCTTAAGGCCACGCACAAGACTTCAAACTTCACATAGCCAACAGAAAGATATGGCTCATAAGTAGAAACTGATGCCATCTTACACTGTAGTGGTGCTACACTTAAGAAAACCTGTAGCTTGCCTTCACATCATAGCCCACACCTTATAACATACCTGGCATACACCAGGTGTGTAAACAAAGCTTGCTGAATGTAGAGTGAGAAGTCCCGTGATGCTTTCTGCCAGACAGACCACATCTGGAGATGACACACAATTCTTGACATCAATAACAAAGATTGTGTGAGCCAAAAAAAAAAAAAAAAGGATAATCTTGTCTAGAAGCAATAATAATAATAGCTAATACAGCATTCACTATGTGTTGGGTAATTTTGTAATCATTTTATATGTATGAATTCTTATACTATATAAGATAGGCACAATTATTATGCCCATTTTACAGATGATAAAAGTAAGGAACCAGTAGGTTATACAATCAACCCAAAATCACATAAGTAGTGAGGAGCAGAGCCAGGTTTCAAAACCAGAAAACATGATCTCATAGTCCATGCTCTTGGAAATCAATCATATCAATGTCCCATTGAAATGAAAAAGGAAAATTGTTAGCCTGGAGATGGGGTAGAAAGGAGATTCAGAAAAACATATTAACTGGCTTCATACTTAAATATCTAGGAAGGAATCTAAAGGAGACAGCTATTGGCTCAGTAGAATAAAGAACTTGCTAACACTGTGGATTGTCTCCCTAGTGCACATTAGTGTGCCTGACACATAGGCTCACTGGGTTCCCTGACAATAGAATATCCAGTTAAGAGATAGAGGTCCATCTATAAATGATATCAGTGGCAGTCCCACCCCAGTAAAAAGGTGAGACTAGAAGTCCCATAGAAGTGCTTCTCATTCTCTAAGATCTATAATTCTTCTTTTTTTTTTTTTTTTTTTTTTTGAGACGGAGTCTCACTCACTCTGTCGTCCAGGCTGGAGTGCAGTGGCGCAATCTCAGCTCACTGCAACCTCCACCACCTGGGTTCAAGCAATTCTCCTGCCTCAGCCCCCTGAGTAGCTGAGATTACAGGCGCACATCACCACACCTCACTAATGTTTGTATTTTTTTGAATAGAGATGGGGTTTCACCATGTTGGTCAGGCTGGTCTTGAACTCCTGACCTCGTGATCCACCCACTTCGGCCTCCCAAACTGCTGGGATTATAGGCATGAGCCACCACACCTAGCCAAGATCTATAATTCTAAAAATAATACATGGTCTTCATTCTCAGGCAGCATACAACTCAATGCAGAGAACAAGACAAATATAGCATAATTCAGTGAAGATGGAGATGTAATAAAATAGATTTTAAAATTATCAAAATAATTAAATGAATGGTACTTAGAGCAGTAGGCCCTCACACCACCTTTAAAGGTAAGTAACTCTGCTACCTACTTCCATATCAAGCAACATTAGAAATAGAAGCGGCACAGCAGACAATGCCATAATATAAAATCTTAAGAAATGCCAAGGAATTATATATTATGCACAGGTCAACTCTATATGCAGCTGGTTTTCTGTATCAATAGATAGTGTCAAAGAATTTGAGTTGTTTGGACTATGAAGCCACTTCTCTTCCCCCCAAAAGGAGAATATCTAGCTAAATCTGAGATTAAAGAGGTGGATAAATGTGACCCCTGGCCTGCAAAAGCCAGGAATTAGACACAAGACTATAGCAGGGAGTCTTCAAAGTTGATCTATCACAGGGATGTCTTCCATCAGATGCTAGTGAAGCTAATCCTTTTGCAAAGCATGACAACTTCTCAAGCTTGACTGTGGTGAATCCAAACCAGATTTTTATGCTATATGATCAGCTTTCAAAATACAAAATTATTTTTACATTATATTAGGTTTACATTTATTATATTTAAATTTACAAACAAAGATATAGAAGCCTGCAATGCAGTTTATACAGCATTCTCTGAACTCCCCTGATGCTCATCTGCCAGGATAAAGTATCAGATAATAGTGAGATGTAAATATATGGAACCAGAGCTTCTCTATAACAAAATACTGTCAAATAATGGAGTTTCCCACATCCTTAAAGTAAACCATTCACATTTCCATCTCTAAAGAAAGAGAGCCATAATATTCCATCAGAACATCCTCACTGATATCGCAGCTTTTCATTCGAATATCACCAACTCTGAAGCCTTTATTACTCTGACAGTATGCTGGAATTCTTGGATGCTGACTTACCTTTTTGCAGTCAGATAAGGACTTCTCACTGGCCAATGTGCTGAAAATGGTGGTCTACAAAATAGGAAGATGGAAAACACTTTAGAATTGTTAACATATAATGATAGTGACCATTCCATGTTCATTTCCAATCCAAGGTAGGCACTACCTAACTGTGTCCCCTACTGATTTCTGTGAATTTTAAAATGTGTCTGCCTTCACTATTCCCAAAGCTTCTCTACCCAAGCTGGAACGTTCATTATGGGCCAAGAACCATTCAGTGAGGTAAGGATTCTGTTATCTTCATTTTACAAACAAGGTAACGAACGCACAATTAGGTTAATTGCTATATACCTTGGACATAGTTAGGTCAGGAAGCAAAGCCATCTAACTCCAGAACCCACCTCCAAACACATATGATCTTCTGTCTTAAAGAGATATGTGCATAATGTTAGAGTCAGCTATGCCCAATCTTTCAAATGACAGCTGTTATGAGCCCAAGTGGGAGAATGGAGCTTCTGCCTATGTAAGAGATTTGTGAGTCTGAACAATACCAGGGCTTGCTATCTCCTTTCTACTATCTTTAATGCACTCACTCTCCCTGTAGTTGACCTCTCACACATTTGTATGTATACTTGCTTGGCCTGATGAACCACTCAAAAGGCACTGCAACATTCAAGGCTATATTGGGATTTACATGCAAGTATGTTCCCTTTGGACAATCCTATGAATAAATACATAGCCATGGTCAGCCATACAAACAGTATTGAGATTTTTTTCAGTAAACTTTTTTACATTTTCTTTAATTATAAAACTAATATTTATTCTTAATGAGTTAGTCTCTTTTATACCCTATCCTCCTGAGGTAACCCATAATACAAATTTGTATTCATCTTTCCACACTTTCTCTATTCCCACGCAAATATGTCTGCGCATATTATATAGAAGTCTCGTTCTTATGATCATACCATCTTAATTAAGAATATATTATCAACATCTTTCCAGTTCAGCCCATGCAGATTAATTCATTCTTCTTAATACCTATATAACATGTCATAATATGAATATATCATAATTTTATGCTTTCCTTTATTGATCAACAGGTTTTGGTTCTTTCATTGTTGTTGCTTCTTGTTTTCTTTTGTTTGCTATTACAAAGTATGCTGCAATAAACATGCTTGTATATGGCTGGAAAATCTAGTGTATATAAACTGTCTCCTACTCTCTGCTCTTTTAACATCATAAAAATATTTACCACCTCACCTAAGGTTTTGGTTTGCTTTGCTTTCTGTTTGTTTGTTTGTCTGTTTTGCAATAAGCATGTGAGAAAGCTAAGGATCTAAGTCAGCACATATTCTGGGTCAAAACAACATGCAGTATTAAAGGACAGAAAAGACAGAATGTGAATACACATACAAAAGTGCATCTTTAATTTAAAAAATTAAGTTCAAGGTTTAGGTTAGATATAATCTCCAAGTTTGGTTTGCTGGCCATTTTTATTTCATTTGAGAGGGAAGGAATAAATGTTACTGGGAAAGTTTGAATTAAAAAGGGAAAACTGAAAGAAGGGAAGAATTCTGGTGGCAGAAGAAAAGAGGAAAGGCAAAAGACAAAAAGAAGGACAAAATGAAAAGTTCACAAAAAACAGGCACAAAAAGCAGAATTGTCAAAAAATTAAAAAAGAAGAAAATGGTTTCCATAGAGAAGCAGTCATCTTCACTCAAGGAGAATAAGGGCACATGATGCATTCTAGTTACCAGGATCTATCCTGTTGACCTAATTTCAGCCCTGAAACACAGTAGCAGGTGGTGAAAGGACAGGTATAGCCCTGCAAATTTCATGTCCTCTTGCTCTTTGTGCTGCCAGGTATATCTTAGTTTCTCTCATTTCTGTATTACAATGGGGATGTAAGAAATAGTATTCTTGCTGTCTGTTCAAAGATTAGGGCAGGACAGAGAGAAAAGCCAAAGAACCAGGCAGCATTCCACATGCTACCGTGAACTACCCCACCCACAATCTTCCCATCAGATGTTTTCCTCATGACTTGTCATCATCTTTACTCATTTGTACACATGAGCACTGTGCCATGAGAGAGGCCTCAGTGTTGATTCCCAGATTTCTGCTCCAAGAATGTAAAGACCCACTGAAACTTGGTCATTGCAGTAGTCCCATTACTAGCCCAGTGCTTGGCACAAAGAAGATAACCAATAAATATGAACTGAGTAGATGCAAAAGAAAATAACATCTGGCAAAACTGCAGTCCTTATCCCAAAACATTTCTTTGGAAGCACTGTGCTGGAAAAGCAGCCTCACAGGAAACACTATTATAAAGTGAAGCTCAGGGATATAAGAAAGAAGAGAGATAAAAGACTTCTAAATAATGGTAAAATACACCTTATATTTAGCGTAAAGCTGTTGTCTATTATCTGCTTGGTTTGGCTAAACCAGGCTTTTTCAGTGAAGACCCTGTAAATGTTTTTGGACTAGATAACTCTTTGTTTTGAGGGCACGTGGGGACACACTGTGCACTGTAGGGGGTTCTGTAGCATGTGTGGCCTCTACCCACCAGATGCTACTGACAATCTCCACCTACCTCAGTCATGACAAACAAAAATGTCTCCAGACATTGCTAAATGTTCTCTAGCGGGAAAAACTGCCCACATTTGAGAAAACTGGTCTAAACCCTAAAGGGGCTAGTTATAGAAATGATCCTGATTCCCTGGCTGATGCAACTAAAATTTTTTCCAGGAAATGCAAGTCTAGCGGTGAAAATTTCTCTGCTCAACCCTGAATTCAAGTTTCATTCTCCGTCTGAAATGGGACTCAGAACATAGGGAGGACCCACTCTCCAGCTACTGAAGAGTCCATGTGGGGGCAACTCAAGAGACCATAACTGCATTTTTAAGTAAGCTTTAAGATGCACGAGCACTGCCACCCTAGGGAGAGTAAATTAAGGAACATGTCTAAGAATTCAGACATTAGTGCCATAGCCCCAGGGGAAATGATCTTCAATTAAACAATACCAGTCAACCTTTGAGGGCAGTCTCAAGTGACCAAAGAAACATGTTTGGAGGGAAATTTAGAGTCAGAGATGGGTGAAATTAGCTTCAGTAAAAAATATATATATACATAGGTAATTTTAAATGTTGCATTTGTAGAAAGGAAACACTTTAGCCAAATGGCAAATGTATGCAAAATCTCAAGACTTGGAATGAGTGTGAAAGAGGGGTGGCACGGGTCAATGAGAGTCCATCCCCTTACTTTAGCCATTTTCTAAGGGGAGTTTACGTAGACGCTTGGTCAGTCTCATTTCATTCTCCGCTTCAAAAGACTTTAACTGGCATTCCAGTTTACTAATTGCAGCTATTGTGAGTGACTTTGGGTGGGCTTTCTAAACTTTCCAATAACATGTTCACCTTAATTACTGAAAATGAAAGACTCAAAAAATGGTGACTTGGCCATGCTGTGACTTTCTTGATGAGTGTATCAATATTTTTCTACTAAAAAGGAAACTCCTAATGAGTCACCTCCACCAAAGTTGGCATGATGCTGGGTTTGTCACAGGAGCACAAGCACAATAAAGCACAAGTGACTTTTTTAGAGCATTGACTTCTAACCTTGTTAGTGGGGTGACCAGCATGAAGTGAACAGTATTATACATGGACAGTTTTAGCAATTTCCCAAAAAGAATTTAGATAGGTGAGAACTCTCTTTTGACCATTTATAAACTAATGCCTGAAATCTCACTTATTAGAGCTCTGTTTTTAGCATAAGGCTTTGATTCATAATAGACAAACTCATGAGGGATGTTAAGATATGGGGGGGTTGTCATGGCAGAAGGTAAAATTGGACACTTCATGTATTATAGTTCATTGGTCTGTTACATCTGAAAGGGAATGAGTTTATCAGATCCCTTCTAAAAGCATATTGTTATACCTTGGAGTTTTGGGGGGTTTTTTAAATAATTTCTTCTTTTTTTTTTTTTGAGACAGAGTCTCGTTCTGTCTCCCAGGCTGGAGTGCAGTGCCACGATCTTGGCTCACTGCAACCTCCGCCTCCTGGTTTCAAGCGATTCTTCTGCCTCAGCCTCCTGAGTAGCTGGGATTACAGGCACCCACCACCACACCCAGCTAATTTTTGTATTTTTAGTAGAGATGGGTTTCGCCATGTTGGACAGGCTGGTCTCGAACTCCTGACCTCAGGTGATCTGCCTGCCTAGGCCTCCCCAAGTGCTGGGATTACAAGTGTGAGCCAACATACCCAGCTTGTTTTTTAAATAATTTCAAAAGCAGATTTTGATAGGAGAGAAATGAAGACTTAAGTCATGAGGATATTGGATGCTCATAGTGATGGTAAGCAATCTAAAGACACAGGTCACAGGTTAGGTTCCCTAAAAAGCACACTGTGAGATGGAAATTATGGAAATTAGCAAGCAGAAGCTTTATTAGGAAGTGTTCCTGAGATCACCACTTATAGGAGGATAGGGAAGGATGTGGGATAGAGAAGATAAAGAAGTTGGACCATGGTGCAGACTCAACAAAGATCTCATCCAACAAAATGGAGAGCTCAGAAGCAGATTAAACTCATCCCAAGCTGGAGTGAGACAGAGGCCTGCCCTGGGAAGGCAGCGTGATCCTGGGCAACATGACTGTTTCCAGCCAAGGGCAATTTCCTGGGAGGACTGATAGCTGAGGGCAGTCAGCTGGCAGGACTCCTGGCAGCAGGGAGCTCTGTGCACAGCATTGCCAAGTCCACTACAATCTACTTTGACACACTTTTACCAAGGGCAGATCCTGGCTGTGGCTGATTGACTCTAGTTGAACATGACCCCATATTATAGTTAAAAGTTTGCTGGCCTTTTATGATAGAACCTTTGGACAGAAAAGCAAATTTGCTCAGGAGTCTAGGGCCTAATTCTTGTCCTTTCTTAACAGACCTCCTTGTGAGCTTAAAGTGGATCACTGGCCTTGGGGTCTTGAATTCTTCACTATGAAGTGAGGAAACCCGTATTCATTTCCTTTTAGGTCATGAGAGCCTTGGCCAATTTGAAGAAAGTGGACCTGATTTTATCAGACACATTGTTTGGAAATCAATGAGCATACTGCTTAGTTCTTTCTTCATCCTCTGATAAAAGAACATATCTGACTAAATAATATGGTCAGCTCCTGATTATCTACAGAGGGGAAGAGAATTTCACAGATGAATTTGGGTTCTCCAGAGAAACAGAACCAATAGGATATATAGAGATATATAAGAGGAGATTTCTTATGAGAATTAGTTTGTGTGATCATGGCAGCTGAGGACTCCCACAATGTGCCATCTGCAGCCTGGAGACACAGGGAAGCCAGTGGTGTAATTCAGCCCCTGCCTGGAGGCCTGAGAACCCAGAGGAAGGGGGAGGGAGGCCACCAGCATAAGTCTGAAGGCCCAAGAATCAGGAGCTCCAATATCTGAGGGCTGGAGAAAACGGATGTCCAAGCCCAGACAGAAACGAATTCCACCTTCCTCTGCATTTGTGTTCTATTTGGGCCTTCAATGGATTGGATGATGCCCACCCACCTTGGTGAGGGCAGATCTTCACTCAGTCTTCTGATTCAAATGCTCATCTCTTCCAGAAACAACTTCACAGATATAGCTAGAAATAATGTTTTACCAGCTACCAGGGCATCCCTTAGCCCAGTTAAGTTGACATGTAAAGTTAACCATCACAACGGGTGATTCAAAAAAGCGTAACATAAAATGCCTTTGCATTTGACTTTGAGATACATTCGTGGTTAATTTAGAAGACCGGTACTCCAACATATCTTCCCTAAATTAACATTAATAACTGTTTGTAGAAATATTCCAAGTGGGCAGAAAGGGAAAACTGACCTAAAAGGAAAAGTGAACTGGGATTAAAAAAAAAATGTCCCTAATAAGTCCTTAGACAGAGAGCCCGCAGATAGGAGATCAGTAATTGGTGGCTCATTTAGTCCAGCCTACAGAGAGAGGCTTCCAGAAGGTATGTTGCTTACCCAATTCTCGCTGGTGGAAATGTTTTTGCAAAGTGATTGAGCACTGAAAAGAGACCTCATATATTCCAAAAATTAATTAATTTGTTTATTTTGAGATAGAGTCTCATTCTGTCACCCAGAAAGAAGTGCAGTGGCTCAATCATGACTCACTGCAGCCTTGATTTCCTGAGCTCAAGCAATCCTCCCACCTCAGCCTCCCAAGTAGCTGGGACCAGAGGCATGCATCACCATGCCTGGCTAATTTTTTAAAAATTTTTTGTAGAGATGGAGTCTCACTATGTTGCCCAGGCTGGTCTCCAACTCCTGGGCCAAGTGATCCTCTCACCTCAGCCTCCCAAAGTGCTGAGTACTTTTGATTGCAGGTGTGAGCCACTACAACCAGCCAAATCCATATGTCCTATACTCGTTTTTCTAAGAGAGAGTTTACCTCTGAAAGTTATTACAATGCTGTTTATTCCCATTAAACTCAATTTAGAGAAAGAAACAGAAATAAATCTATTCTATCTCTACTGTGTCATTTTCTGTTATGTAATGCTTATAACTAAGATTTACATTTTTAAAACAGCAAACATCTGACACTTCATTAAATTGGAACAGTCATGTGCAAGAGAATTGCTTAAATATTGAATTATAAAATTAAGAAATTCAGAAATTGAATCTCTAAGGTAGTAATATTATGAAATTTTATTTCAAGTATTATTTGTTCCTTTATGTATGTATGTACCTGTGTTTGGGTGTGTTTTTCACTCTCAGCCTGATACCACCAGACAGAGCCCAGGTAGGTTTGATGAATGTCAAATACAGTTGAAAGCTAACAGCCATTTAAAGGAATGATGTCTGCATAAAGCATCTCCATTTGATACCTTGCACCTCACAGACACAATGGATGATTTCTTACTCATTGGTAGATGTCAAGACTAGACCTATCACATTACTAACAATTTGGAAGTCTCTTACACTTAAATCAATGAGTCCCAAAGTGCACACTACTTGGATGCTTTCTTAGACAGTTTAGCCAGCCAATTCTAGGATTTCTAGACAAAGTATGAATTTCCATTAGGTCTTCATGCTTTAGTAGACTAGTATTGATAGGTATACACTGGATACAGTGGTATTCCCTCCAGGCAAAGTATGGCATTCACATTTATTTTTTTAAAAAACTGCATAATTATAAAACATCAGCCAAAGGAAAAAACATACCACCAAATAAATGATAAAATTACAGTGTTTTCTTGTAGTCCATGAATACTGAAAATTTCAATTAACCAAGTGAAAAGCCATTGAATGTGCCAGCAGGATTTATATCCCAGACTAATGACCATCATCTGCATCCTATTTAGCTAATGAAGGCTTGGAACACTTGTGGATAATTAAGGGAAAGCTGATGGGAGGAAATTCAGACTACTGAAAGATCAAATCTATTTATGTCTGCATTTAAAACTAAACATATTTAATAGTTCACTCAATCAAGCCATAATGTCTGTTCATCTGGGATAAGATAGATGCTCAGAAGTTAAGTAGCTTGGTTAGCTCCCCAAACTCCAAATTCATTCTTCCTTCATTCATTCAATATCCATCTATTGAATACCTACCATGTGCCTCTTCCCTCGTGAATCAACATGACAGTACCATGATCCGCCTAATGTTTTTCCCACAACTTCCCCTTTTCCACCTTCATTAAATGCACCGCTCTGGTTTTCACTTTACCCATCTAACTATTGTCCGGTTACCCATGTAACCTATTTACATGGGTAAAGTTACATGGTTTCACTTTACCCATGTAACTATATCATAACAGAGGTGGCATGGCTGCAATCCAGGGGCATGATGGGAAACACAGGGTGCACAGCAAACTCCCGGCTTTTTCTCAGACATGGCAGAGCAGGGGCAGGCCCCAGTCTGATTAATAGATGGGTGTTCATGTGAGGAAGACTAAGGATGTTAGAAAAAAGACAAAAACCTGGTATCCAGAACAGGAACCAAGCTCAGAGCAGCTCTACTGAATTTCACAGAATAGTTTACCAGTCATCTCATTCAACTGTTATTTTCTCACTTAGGGAGCACCTTAAAACCCCCTCTCTGGATCCCTACCAAAATCCCTGATTCATTTGTGTTTAGCAAATATGGTGCTTCAAGAACCTACAATCCTAGGATCTTTTCCTATGCTGAAAAATGGCAAACATCGGTGGCAGGCATGTTGTGACAGCTCAATCTTAGGGGCACACATTTATGCCTACAGAACCCCTTCCATATGGGAAAGGAAGCTCAGGTGGAAAAACATCAGCACATCAGAGCCTACCCATATCCAGCTGGGCATAGCTGTAAGCCAACGGAGCTCAAACTTCAGAGGCATAAGAATCATCTGGAGAGCTTATTAAAACACAGATTGCTAAGCCCCTCCCCTGGAGGTTCCAACTTAGAAGGGATGGGGTGAGGCCAAAGGATTTGCATTTGTAACACATTTCTAGGTATAGCTGATGCTCCCAGTCCTGGAACCTTACTTTGAGAACCAGTAGTCTAGGCTATACCCAAAGCAAGTTAACATCAATGATAACTATGCCTTTTACGACCTCACAAAAGAAGAAAATGTCTCTGGAATTTCCAGAGCATAATTTTAATTAGTAACAATCCTAATGATACCTCCTGACATTTATCATTCATATAATACTTTCCATGTCTAAAGCCCCTTGACACACTTTTTTTTTTTTTTTGAGATGGAGTCTTACTCTCGCCACCCAGGCTGGAGTGCAATGGTGCGATCTTGGCTTACTGCAACCTCCGCCTCCCGGGTTCCAGTGATTCTCCTGCCTCAGCATCCTGAGTAGCTGGGATTACAAGCCCCTACCACCATGCCAGGCTAATTTTTGTATTTTTAGTAGAGAAGGGGTTTCACCATGTTGCCCAGGCTGGTCTCAAACTCCTGACCTCAGGTGATCTGCCCACCTCGGCCTCCCAAAGTGCTGGGATTACAAATGTGAGCCACCGCACCCAGCCAGACACACATTGTTAAACTTGGACTTCCAAACTATCCTATAAAATAGTTATTAATCTTATTTTAGGACACTAAGAAACACAGAGATTAAGTGACTTGCCTAAATTTTCTTAACTAATAAGTACCCCTGACCCTGGCAAGGAGGTTCCTGCAAGACCAGCAGGACACTAAGCTCTGGGGCTAGGGGACGAGAAGCTGTCAAAACACATTTCACACACTTCACAACAGTGTTTGAATGTGGCCAATTAGTGCCAGGAGCAGAAAGCAGAGCAACAAAGAGCCTCAAAGAAGACACAACAAAAAGCAACATATTTGGACAAAAAGCACTGAATGGTGACGGGATCCATCCCACAAAGCTGCAGACCAAGTCTCTCTAAAGCCATCAACATTAATATAAAAAACCAGGCACAAGGCCTGTACTCAGGCTGTCACCCCAATGCTGGATATCCTAATCTGACACCGTAAATGCTACAAGGAAGAAGCGTTGAAAGAATTGTAGCAGAGAAGATAGTAGAACATTTCTATACATTTTGACTTTAAAAGAATAATAAGGGGCTGGGCGTGGTGGCTCATGCCTGTAATCCCGGCACTTTGGGAGGCCAAGGCAGGTGGATCACGAGGTCAGGAGTTCGAGACCACCCTGGCCAATATGGTGTAACCCCGTCTCTACTAAAAATACAAAAATTAGCCAGGCATTGTGGTGGGCACCTGTAGTCCCAGCTACTCAGTAGGCTGAGGCAGAAGAATCGCTTGAACCCAGGAGGCAGAGGTTGCAGTGAGCCGAGATCGTACCACTGCACTCCAGCCTGAGTGACAGAGCGAGACTCCGTCTCAAAGAAAAAAAAAAGGAATGGTAAGGAAACTCTATACTGGAACTAGAAGCCATTATCTTAAGTGAAATGACTCAGTAACGTAAAGCCAAAAACTACATATTATCACTTATAAGTGGGAGCTAAACAATGTGTACACACGGACATACAGAGTGGAATAATAGACACTGGAGACTCCAAAAGGTGCGAGGGAGTGGGGGAGGGTGGAGGGGGCTAAAGGATGAAATACTACCTATTGGTACAATGTACACTATTTGGGTGATGGGTACATAATAAAACCCCAGACTTCACCACTGTGCAATATATCCACACAAGAAAACTGCACTTGTACCCCCTAAATCTATAAAAATTAAAATTCAATGTATATTAGCATCTATAATTTTTGAGTCACAGCTGTTGTACATTAAATAATAGGAACTGTCAATGATTTCCAAATATTATTACTCAATATTTAGGAATTTAAATCTTTAAGATCCCTTCAAATTTCCACTGTACTTTATATAAACCCCTTTTACAAAACTCACCACAGGTGATTTATCTTGTGCATTGCACTGTAAGCTCACCAGGACCAGAGACCAACTGTTAGTCATCTTTCTACCCTATACGTGAGCACAGTGTTGGGCATAAGAATGAGAACACAGTAGGGATGTTATAAATATTTGTCAAATATATAGTGAATAGGGCAAGGGAGGCAAGAGGAAGGAGAAAGCGAGAAGGGGAAAGGAGGAACAGAGGGAGGAAGGCAGGAAAAGACAAATGATAAATGATAACAAGGGGACAACACGCTACTGTGGAAAGAGTCTTATGAGTTGAATTGTGTCCCCTAAAAAGAGATGTCGATGTCCTAATCCCTGGTACCTGTGAATGTGACCTTATTTAGAAATAGGATCTTGGCAGATGACCCAGTTAAGATGAAGTAATTAGAGTGAGTGCTAAGCCAATAACACTGGCATCCTTACAAAAAGGGGGAATTTGAAGACAGACACACACAGAGGGAAAATGAGGTGAAGACAACTATGTGAGGACAGAAGCAGAGATTGGACAGATGCACCTACAAACAAAGAAGGCCAAGGATTATGGCCACCACCAGGAGCCAGGACAAGGTAAGAAAGAATTCTGCCCAGGGTCTCAGAGAAAGCCCATCCCTGCTGGCACCTTGAATTTTGGACATTTAGATCCCAGAACCATGAGACGATAAGTTTCTGGTATTTTAAGCCACCCAGTTTGCAGTACATTTTCCAGCAGTCCAGGCTGGGTGCAGTGGCTCGTGCCTGTAATCCCAGCACTTTGGGAGGCTGAGGTGGGCCGATTACCTGAGGTCAGGAGTTTGAGACCAGCCTGGCCAACAAGGTAAAACCCTGTCTCTACTAAAAATACAAAAATTAGCCAGGCTTCATGGTAGGCACCTGTAATCCCAGATACTCGGGAGGCTGAGGTAGGAGAATTGCTTGAACCCAGGAGGCAGAGGTTGCAGTGAGCCAAAATCATGCCACCGTACTCTAGCCTGGGCAACACGGTGAGAGTCAATCAAAAACAAACAAACAAAATAGCCAGGCACAGTGGCACACACCTGTAATCCCAGCACTTTGGGAGGCCAAGACGGGTGGATCACCTGAGATCAAGAGTTCAAGAGCAGCCTGGGCAACATGGTGAAACCCCATCTCTACTAAAAATACAAAAATTAGCTGGGCATGGTGGCACAGGTCTGTAATCCCAGCTACTTGGGAGGCTGAGGAAGAAGGATTGCTTGAACCCGGGAGGCAGAGGTTGCAGTGAGCCGAGATCACGCCACTGCACTCCAGCCTGGGTGACACAGCAAGACTCCATCTCAAAAAAACAGAAACAAACAAACAAACAACATTTTCCAGCAGTCCTAGCAAACTAATACAGGGGTCTCTCTTGATCTTCTATTTCAGTGGTTGGTAAACTTTCACTGTAAAGGGCCAGATAGTAAATATTTTAGGCTTTAAGTTCCATGAGGTCTCTGTGACAACTACTCAACTCTGTCACTGTAGCTGGAAAGAGGGTATAGACAATATGTGAACGAATAAGCTTGGCCATGTTCCGATAAAGCCTTACAGACATTGAAATTTGAATTTCATATAATTTTCATGTGTCATGAAATATTATGCACTTTTTTGTTTTCTTTTTTACAACTATTTAAAAATGAGAAAACCACTCTTAGCTCACAGACCATAAAAAAAAAAAAAAAAAAAAAAAACAGGCAATCGGCCAGATTTGGCCTGCAAGCTATAATTTGTCTACCCCTGGATATAGATTTAGAAATCAGAAAAACCTCGCTATAGTCCTAGTTCCATCAATTATTCTCCTAAATTTGATTGAATCACCACATTTGGTGTTCAAAGGAGCATAATATTTTTTTCTGCCCACCTGGAAGTTTATTAGGAGGATGAGACAAACATCATAAGTTTTAAATATGTTGTATAAAGTAATAGTATTGAAAGCTTGAAAGATCTAGCTCTTACTTTTCCAGAAATAAATACTAACACTAAGGCCAGGATGATGGTCAATTGATTCTGAGTCATGGAGTCAGTGTGGGGGTGGAAACAAACACATAAGCCTGTCAATCACCACATCTTCAGACGGAATCAGTAAAGAGGACAAGAAGATACATACCACACACAAAAGTGTGAGCAGCCAGAAGGCCTTCTGAGGTAAACAGCAACTCTAAAGGCAAATGGTCACTATCTTTGGTCACATTTGACCCTTGGGTACTGCTGAACCAAAAATTCCTTCTCTCAGGCAATGTTCTGGACTAGAAGGGGACTACTTCCCAGAGGCTACACTGTAACGTGGGTCCTTAGATCATCATTCTAAATAAACATTCATCTTTCGCTGAAGCTTCTTTGACCATCTTGAGCTCATGTCTATGGTGCCAACAGCTGACAAAGCCATAAATATTACCCTACATGCAGAAATGTCTTCACACTCACTGCCATAAGGAATTGGAACCCTGCCACTGTGCTCTGGAGGGGGCTGGACTTGGGCGGACAGCTCCAGATTTTCAGGTCTGGCACAAGGTAAAGCCAAAGAAAGCAGCAAGGAATAAAGAAAATAGTTCACAGGAAGAAATATCATTTGCTAACACTGCATGGGGTTATAGACCCCCTGGAACTAAAGTTAATGCCCTTGAGGAGAGTAACTCCTTCCAAATTACTGGTGTAACCCACCACGGTCATAAGTTCTTAGACAGCAGGGATTTTTCTCCAAATTAATTATCCCAATTCCCCTTCATCCTTAAGACTGTGTGTTTCCTTGATGTACACAGAAGTGTTGCATTAACCTTATTCTCAGTTTCTGACTCTTCATACTCAAGTTTGAGGTGAACAGAGAAAATCCATAGCCGTAGCCAGCTCTTGGCTGTTACTCTCTCCAGAGTCTCGTCTTCTGTCACCTCCTTCCCCATTCCCTCCACCCTGGCACATCATCACCACCTACTTTCAAAAGAACTGAGAAGAAAGCCATGGTTACCAAATGTCTCTTAGCAACTTGACATCCTCCTCAAAGATGCTCACATAAAAGTGAAGGTGGGCCAAAGGACTCCCTCTAGGAAACAGGGTAGCCTAATGGAAGGGAAATGGATCAACCCCAGCTCTGCCCCTTGTTATGTGGACTGGGACTTATCATTGAAATTCTCTGAGCCTGAACTCCCTATCTGTAAAATGGGAACAAGACCATCTACTTTAGAGTATTCTGTAAGAATTTAAGGTGATGTGTATTGTATAAATAATAGAAATGCTTATAATAAGCATTTCTGAGAATTCTCAGTATCTTCTACATCTCTGTCTCCAACCACACTTACCCTACAGAGTTCACAAATGCCTATTTATAGGGACATATCTGTGCCACTAAATCACACAGTGGTGGCCTGGGAAGCAAGGAAACAGCTACATACTTACTTAAAGCCCAGGCTGTAGAGCAACTGGATGATAGCAGGGAGGAGGGATTGGCCTTCTCTTCCTCAAATGATCTTTGTGGGGTTGTTTGGGGCAGAAGTGCACTGGAGCGATCTTGGCTCACTGCAACTTTGACCTGCCAAATTCAAGCGATTCTCATGCCCCAACCTCTCAAATAGCTGGGATTACAGGCATGTGCCGCCACGCCAGGCTAACTTTTGTATTTTTAGTAGAGAGGGGGTTTCACCATGTTGACCAGGCTGGTTTTGAACTCCTGACCTCAAGTGACCTGCCCACCTCAGCCTCCCAAAGTGCTGGCGCTACAAGTATAAGCCACCTTGCCCGGCCTGATCTTTGAATTAGTATATACTGGTAAATTCTCATGCTCCTGGTTGAACTACCTGAATAACTTATACAGTGAATACCATGCAGTGCCTGAGAGGAAAGAAAAGTGCTGTGGATGATCATTTTCAACACACACCCACACATACACACACATACACATACACGCACATACACATACACACACATACACATACACACACATACACATACACACACATACACATACACACACATACATGCACATGTGGTTATGCTTGCAAGTTTGAATTATTGAGAAAAACACTCAAGGAGCTCCCAAAGCTCACCCTCCAGAAACCATTATCTTTTCTGCAGCAAGAGATAGAATATAATCAGGAAAAAAATATTTTTTAACCTGAAAAACTAAATGTCAACTAGATAAAACAATGAAAAACATCATACCATAATTGCAATTATTTGTGGGGATGGGTGTGAGGAGGGTTAAAACTTACATTAGTCTCAAACTTAGCTGTGTGTGCTTGATGATAGGATTCCTTCCTTCAAAATTCTCAGGAAAGATGAGAATGAAACAGATGACCCAGTCAGGCAATGAAGTTGAAAGTGCTGAACCCCGAGAAAGATCCTTCATGTTGGAGTGGGGGAGTGGGATAGGGGAATATATTTTACCATAAGGCTTTTACCACAATGTTTTCTTCCTTTTTCTTTTTCATAGTAATTCTGCATATTAACATACTCCTAAATAGATCCATCTTAAAAAGAAAACAAAAACACCAAACTATGTTCATGTGTAATCTAAGCTGATGAAATACTAACCTGCAAATTTGGCAGGTGGGGAAGAAAGGAAGGACAAGGTCAAAGAAGAAGGACATTGTCATAATTACCAGCTATTACAAATAATATAAACAACAAGAATGGAGGTTGCCAGGCCCAGTGTGATGGGTTCCTGTTTAAAAGCTCAGCACTGTCATTAGTAAATGAATAGTGATGTGGCATTATCTCAGACTCTCTAAGTGATGGTTTGACAGAAAGTCGATGGCTACACAATTTTACTGCATACCAGAAATAAAAATAAAAAGGTCTGGTTTGCCATAAACACATTTCATAATTAGAGCACTGACAGATGGAGTCCTTATTCTGGTTCTAAATTGCTGCATCTTCATTTCTTCAGGGTTTATTTTGAGTTCCACCTGCACAAGCACTCCAAGTTAAAGGATAACAAGAAATGATTCATGTGTTCCCCAGGGCTTGGGGAAATCCCATGCTTCTTTTTGTCTTTCATTCTTTACCAACTGCCCTGGGCCCATTTATTAAACAAACAATACTGAGCATTCATGTTCCAGGATTAGGCTGGGTACTGCTGGGAGGATAGAGAAGAATGAGATATATGCATGCCTTCAAGAGATGATGAAGCTGTGAAGCTTATTCTTTGAGAAGTTTGACTAAGTTCTGTTTTGGTTCTCTTTTCTTTTCTCTTCCTTGTCTTCCCCATCCTTCCTGTGATCTCGTTTCTCTTTGTGCCAATTCTATGCTTGTACACACTTCTATAAACTTTTCCATTTTATATTGCATTTTTTACGTTCCTTATCTCAAGAGAACTCTTTGGAAGCAGTGACCATGCCATAAGCCATACTTCTCCTATTCTACTTTTTGTTTTATTCTTTTTGAGACTGGGTCCCACTCTGTCATTCAGGATGGAGTCCAGTGGCACAATCATAGCTCAATGCAGCCTCAGCCTCCCCGGGCTCAGGTGATCCTCCCACCACAGCCTCCAAAGTAGCTGGACTATAGGCGCACACCACCACACCCAGCTAATTTGTTTGTATTTTCTGTAGAGATTGGGTTTTGCCACGTTGCCCAGGCTAGTCTGGAATTCCTGGACTCAAGTGATCTGCCCACCTCAGCCTCCCAAAGTGTTAGGATTACAAGCGTGAGCCACCACACCCAGCCATACTCGCTACTCTAAATGACACAATGGCTATAGATTTTTTTTAATGTATTGATATTTTAAAAAGATATTTAAATAGTAGATATTTCAAAAGATTTGTTGAATATAAACATAACCATCCACTTTTATGGCTTCAACTACTAACTAAATGATATTCATTTTAAATGTGTTTGTCCATCCCTGGTGCCTCTCCCAAGCTTCAAATTCTTTATTTCCAATTGCCTATTACATATCTCCATTCAAATGTCCCATAAGCATCTATAAGTCGACTTGTCCAGAACTGAACATATTATAGTCCTCTACTCCAAATCTGTCTCCAATTGCTCATATCTTGGTTAATGGTGAGACCATCTATTCATTCTTTCAACCACAGTGTCTTTTTTGACTCCTCTCCCTTCCTTACCTTTCTCTCAAATCATCCTATCCTATTGATGCTACTATAGAAGACTCTCAAATCATAAAGCTTCCTTTTCTCATTGCCCTTGCCACTGCCTTAGTTCAGAGCCTAGTCACCTCCTATTTCATTTTCTACCAGATTTCCATGCTACCAGTCCATCCTCTACATTCCTACCACAATGTCTACCTAAACCAAATGTGATTCTGCAATTTGCCTGTTTAATGATCTCGGCCGGCCCCTCAGTGCCTACTGTACTTGCATCTAAGGATGGTGTCTGTTGACAATCCGACTACACCTTATTTTGTCAGGCTATATTCTTACACTAGATCCTTACAGTGTAAGAATCCTATAAACTAGCCACAAACCCATAGATTGTTCTCTGGACAAGCCAAGGAGACTGCCAAGTCCTTGCACATACTATTGTATTTCCTCTGCCTAAAAATCCCTTCCCCTAATCAACTGGTCAATGGCCACTTCCCTCCGAAAAGATTTCTCTGATTCCCCGAAGAGTAGTTAGTTAGTGGTTTCCATCTGTGTTCCTAAAGTCCTTCATTCTCGTGTATTTTATAATATCTTATGCAGTTCTTGCTAGCTAGACTGAAAACTCAGTGAGTGCTAATGAAGGCAATTTTATTCATCTCTGTCACTCCAGATGCATGATTCATAGCCAATAGATGTTTGATAAAATAATGAATGAATCACTAGTTTAATAGTGTAAGGCTGATTAGAGATATAGTTAGGCACCACCAGTGTATATAAGGATAGTCAAAGCCACAGATATGACTGAGATTGCCTAGGAAAGTGTTTAATTATAAGAAATAAGGAACTGAAGGAAGCCCCAGAAAACACTGATATTTATTAAGATGAATAGAAAGAAGAGCCAGCCAAGGAAATTGAGAAAAGGTAGTCGGAGGAGTAGGAAAAGAGCCAGACGAGAATGTCGTCACAGAACAAGCCCAGGAAACAATCCCTCCCAGTCTCCCAAATCAGGACTAAAATTTTCTATCTCCTCCCACCTCACATCATACTTATCCCTATCACAGTGCTTATCATCATACACTTAACTGTCTACTTACCTGTAACTCTCATAGAATATTAGTTCCTCAAAGACAGGGACTCTGTCATATTGACGGCGTATCCTCTGTACTTGGCATAGTACATGACACATAGCCAGTGTTCAATAAATATTTGTAGAATGATTGAAGGGATAAATGATTAAATAAACGAGTGAGATGCAACTAAGAAATCACATAAGAACTGAAAGAGGTCCCCAATTTTAGTATTCAGAAAGATATTGGGTGACTCTGGTCTTAACGTTTTGCCACATATACCCATACTCTCATTGGTTTCACATTGGAATGTCCAAGAATTTGAAATAAAATAAAAAGCCTCATGGCTTGTCACTTGGCCTTCCTTCCCAGAGTGATCACTTTGACGATGGATGGATGGCTCTGAATAGGTGCAAATAGTTTTCATTCAATGGTTTTCAACCAGATAACACATAATAGAGTCATTATGTCCCTTAAGAGATTGAAAGTTAAATATATCATTTCAAAATTGCTTCAGCATATATAGTATCATCTTTAAGCCAAAGAAATTTTAAACAATGGTAATCAACTCATGCCTTGGTGATCTCAAATTTTCAGCTATTATTTCCTGTACATGTTGCAGTCATATGCCCACTATTTGAGAAATCATTGTGAAATGGGACAACAGAATATTTATCATCATAAGATCCTAAGTTGCTGATATAAAAAGTATTTCTATAATAAACCCCAAGACAAATGAATGGAACAGAACCGCTGACAGATTGCTAATGTTTCATTTTTAGATTTACAAATGAGGGGAACCTGTAAAAGGAGGATTGAAAATGGAAAACATAAGTACATCCTGTAGACAACAAATGCCCTTCAGGATATGAGGTAGGGAATTAAAAGGCAATGCATTTCAGCAGTTTCTGAGAGTTGCTGGGAATTGAAATTTAGGTACCTCTGGCCTGTGAAAACACAGTGACAATCAGTAAGCTGTTTTCTTCTCTCTCTGCCCTTGTCTTTACCAGTGAGTGCCATTTGAACGCAGAGGACTGTCAAAGCAAAGATGTACGAAAGGAAGTTGCTCTTCATTTCTCAGCCTTGCCCCTTGGGAAGTAAAGGGACATTGACTAAGCATTTCCTATCAACTGCATCTTGCCTACAGCCTGGATCTCCAGGACACTTATGGACTCTGACAGAAACCATAACATAGAGCTGATAAACTAGCTTTCTATAAGGAAGAGACTTGGAGGAAATATTCCTTGGGGTTTTATTTTTATTTTTTTATTTTTTTGGTTGGGGGTTGTTTGTTTCAATTCAAGGCATTTTGAAAACTGTCTCCTCAAGTGGTCTACCAGAAGACTAAGGGGATCCAAACACTCTACATGAGTTTGACACACCCCATGCTGTCTCTTGCAGAGCACCATTACTCTCTGGAGAAGCAATTCACCTCTCGGAGACATCGAGTTCTGGTTCTACCCTTTTGATCACAAAGATTGAGACTAGAGT
The DNA here is from genome assembly GCF_000001405.40 of Homo sapiens. Lineage (NCBI taxonomy): Eukaryota > Metazoa > Chordata > Mammalia > Primates > Hominidae > Homo > Homo sapiens. Next base: position 81,843,456 of record NC_000004.12, read on the forward strand.
TCAGAAAAATCATTCTTAGGTTGTTTAATCAAAGATTTTTAATCAATATTTTTAAAGGATTGTCAGAAAACTACATTATTCAAAGAGGGCTGAGTTCTATATGTTAGAAAAATGTTCTGGTATTAAAGGGAACGGTAAAATATCAATGTAACAGGGTAGGAAAAGTCTAAGATTTATAATCAGAAATACACCATTTCAAACAGTGACCCGTACTAGTAGTATGACAAGTTACAAGTTGTACAAGTTACTGACCTTTCTAGGCCTCGGTTTTCTCACCCATAAAATAGAAAGAAAAAAAGCCCACTTTCCAGCATATGAGTATTAAATACATCATATTCGCAAAGTGCATACGTCCAGACTATACTGGACATTCAATAAATATTATTATCTCTTCCACTCTTAACTCCCTACAAAATTTTATTAGAGGCCAGGCACGTTAGCTCATGCCTGTTATCCCAGCACTTTGGGAGGATCACTTGAGGCCAGGAGTTCAAGACCAGCCTGGCCAACATGGCGAAACCCCGTTTCTACTAAAAATACAAAAATTAGCCAGGTGTGATGACGCATGGCTGTAATCCCAGCTACTCAAGAGGCTGAGGCACAAGAACCACTTGAACCCGGGAGGTGGAGGTTGCAGTGAGCCGAGATCACACCATTGAACTCCAGCCTGGGCAACAGAGCAAGACTCTAAAAATACAATAAAATAAAATGAAAAAAATTTTAAAAATTGATTAGAAAACGAAGTTCCCCTGTCAAACAACTCTTTAAGACAACCCTGAACTCTAATAAATTCAGATGGATACATTATAATATCAGATACAATATTTTATCAAATTAAAAGTTGATTATGAGATATCACTAAGAAAGAGAAGTGCTACCAATATAATTGTATGTTGCTATTAATTATATAAAGCATCATAATTTCAGAAATGTTAAAATATAAAATATGTGCATATTTTTGTAAAATCAATAAAATACATTAAAGTGTCTAGGATTTTAGATAAGCTTGGAAATACAACAGACACAAGAAACAGAAAACAAAGAGACCCGTATTTCCTCCTATTGCTTAATCTCTTATCTTTGGAGGAAAGAAAAATCATTAAGGTGCAGGCCTGAGAGTCAAGCAATTGCTCAGTTAAGAGTTCCTTTAAATACCAGTTTACTTGGTTTATACCAGTGACTAGATACACAGAAACAACATTTGAGGGAAAAGGCATATGGAAGGAAGAAATAAAGAGCATTTTGTGTTTTACCGCCTTCTTTAAAAATCTTAATTTCAAGGTTTTTTAATACTTTGGTTTAAGTACTTAAGGTATGTAGTTCTAAATCTATAAGGAGATTAAATGGTAGTTTTCAAAGCTTGTAGAACAACACACACATAGAGCACTCCTGACCACTTAGTTATGTAACCTATAGCGACATTTAGTGGTGGTGCCCGCAAATTACAACTAGGTGTCCCAAAGGGGTAGGACAATTGTTTGTATAAAATGACTCAACAAAATTCTCCTTTATCATAGTGTGAGTGATGTCGCATAATCCTGCCCAGAAGGTTATTAAGAGGTCTTCTGGAGGTGGTGCTAGAGGTGGTAGAAGCTATGTCATTGCAATCTTACATTTGAGAACTAAACACTGACCTTTTTCTTCTCTTGCCCAAATTTGTATCTAAGGGGACTGGTGGGTTACACCCTACAATCCATAATGTCTCATCAAAGGGGTTTTATTTAACCCTATATAATGTGGCTCACTTTCCAACCTGACTCTGGCATAACATCACACGACAGATAAAGAAGGAAATCAAAGTAGTTCAAGCCCAAATATGTTTTATTTGCCATGTCCTGAAATAGTCCTGCAAAGCTGACTGATTTGGGGAAAATCTACATTCTGAAGAGAATCCCCTTGCTTTTCCTTCCTTTTTCCTGATCTAGGAGAAAGAAATCAACTCTGATAAGAAACATTTATAATCTATTATCTCTAAAGTCAGCTCTCTGGAGACCTCCTCTGCATAAGATAAGGGGTTGGTTGGTGTCCACAACTCCTTATCTTAACCAAGACATTCTTTTCTATTGAGTCAAGGCCTTTAAACTCTTTAACTCTTTAAACCAATTGCCAATCAGAAAATCCTTGAATCTACCTATGACCTGGAAGCCCTCGATTCCAGTGGTCCTGCCTTTCCTGACCAAACCAATGTATCTCTTACAAATACTGGCTGACGCCTTGTGTCTCCCTAAAATGTATAAAATCAAACTGTATCCTGACCACCTTGGGTACATGTTCTCAGGATCTCTTGAGGGCTATGTCACACGTCACTGGTCTTTGATATCTGGCTCAGAATAAATTCCTTCAAAATATTTTAGAGTTTGACTCTTTTCATTGACATATTTTACATAGTTTGGTATTTTCTGCATATGCTTTTCTCCATAATAGAATCATGGTGCTGGAAGAGACCCTAGGGACTATCTAATCCAATTCTCCCATTTGCAGATGATAAAGCTGTGACTCAAATATGCTAGCCAAAGGTCACACAGCTAGGAAGGGGCAGTTTCAGGCCTTGCCAAGAATTCTAAATGCATTGCTCTTGCAATTAAATGGCTTTGTCATTCATACAGCGCAGATTAGAGTATTGGCTATAGTTTTCAACGCTTATTCATTGAGCATTTAATATAAAATCAAGTATATTAAAAAGATATTTACGGCTCTGTTAGAAAGTTTAAGATGAATTAGGGATTAGTACATAAAAAACAAAGTCCATGAAAACTAATAGTTAAACATACAGTTTTGACAACTCTACGAGATAGATACAGTTACTATGACCATTTTACAGTTCAAGAAATTGAGACAAAGTATTATTGGTAACTACTAAGTCCAAAAAAAGAAAAAAACTATAAAAGTTACATAGAAAAGTAAATGCAATCATATTGTAATACATGGCTCAGCTGTTAAGTGATAGTAACACAGGCTCAATGATAGAAGCTACAACTTTCAAACAATCATGTTTGGAAGACAAGAGGGGAAGTATGTGTTGAAGAACAGGGCGAGGGAGACAGAGATAGGGGATGTAAGAAAACTCATCAGTTTCTGTAGAAGGCATGAATAGACATCTAAAACTAGCTGGACATGGTAGCTCATGCCTGTAATTCTGGCACTTTGGGAGGCCGAGGCAGGAGAATCACTTGAGCCCAGGAGTTTGAGACCAGCCTGGGCCACACAGCAAGACCCTAAACTCAACAAAAAACTAAAAAATAAGCCAGGCATGGTGGCACAGACGTAATCCCAACTACTCGGAGGGAGGCTGAGGTGGGAGGATTGCTTGAGCCCAGGAGGTTGAGGCTGCAGTGAGCCATGATAGTGCCACTGCACTCCAGTCTGAGTGACAGAGCAAGACCCTGTCTCAGAAAAAGAAAATATCCAAAATTGAAAAATTAACACAAAAAATAACATAAGCACAGGGATGTTTGTATAGAGGTGAATCCAAATGAAAAATGGAAAAGGGAGTTGAAGTGATTGCCTACAGAGAATAGTAGGTATTAAGAGCAGGGAGAGGTGGAATGAAATACTACTGTTTTTAATTATAAGGTTTGTAGGACTGTTTGATGCTTTAAAATATGTACTTTTATGATATGAGAAAATATAAAATCAAATTTAAAAACTAAAACATAATATAGGCAAATCACTAAAAATATTGCTTTCAAATTATGTGTAAAAAAGACAACCATGTTTCACAAGCATCTCTAAATAAGCTGAAACAGAACATTTTACACAATGATCTCTTTATGTTATCTGCACAAGATGTAAAACATCAACCAGTGGCCCATACTCAAAGGCCTTATTCCTATAAGTAAAAGGCAAATCAACTCACATTCCTATATTTTAAGTTGAAATAGAGTATTTGTGGGTGTATGTATCATTTTTTATGATTCTCCTCTTTGACTGACTTTTTGAAATCACTGACCAACACCCCAATGGCATTAGTGTAGCCTTGGCTGCTGCAGTGCCCTGCCCACATCTCCTCCTCAGGACTGGAGCACTCACTCCTTCAGCTGCTGGGACTGTTAGTAGAAGATGGCTCTCAGCTGAGTTATTTTCTAGTGATTGCCTTTAGCCAGCATGCTGCCTAGCCCAAGGTCACTAGACCTTTCCAATAATAGTGGTATAAAGACTCGGTCCTCTCGACCCAAGGCAGAGCAACTCTAAGGTGCCGCTCAGCTTCAGAACTCTCCCACGGATCAGCTGGGGCCTCCATTGCAGCTGCTCAGCCTGCTTCCTGCTCCCTCTTTTCTACAGGTGTTGATCTCATCCTCAGAGCACTCCCCAATAAACTTCTTGCACACAAATCCCCATGTCAGTGTGTGTTTCCAGGGAATCTGAAGACAGTCCAGTAAGAGCCTTTTTACTGTTCTACTAGGTACAATAATATTATTATTTTAGTTTAAGAGATATTAAAGACAAAGTCTCTTGACTCTTTTACCTTCCTTTATTTAACTTCCTTTTTCAGAGTTTTAAATGGTGCATGCCATGTGCATTAATCTTATCTTACATAGCAGAGTGAAATTTATCTTTAATGTTTAAGATAAATATTAAACTTATTTAATATTTAATATAATTTACTATTTGAATGTCTACTATATACAAAGTACAGTGAAAAGTGAGGAAGGGGAGGGCAGAAGAATCCACAATGAGTAAGCAAATGAATCAAATGTGGTTTTTTCCCTCCTTGAAGAGTTTATAATTTGGTAGAAGAGATAAAAATGTACACTAATTACTGTAATCACTGGAATGTAACAAAGAAGTAAAAAGTGCTATGGAAGTTCAGAGAGAAGATAATTTTGTTGGTTTTGTATTTGGTTAGGGTGGAAGAAGTGAAGGGTTGTTAAAATTTCCCTTCTTAACCTACTTCACATCAGCTAGCCTTTCAACACTAGATTGGAGTTCGTTGGATGAAAAAGGCAGAAAAGTGATTTAAGGCAGATGTAACAGACAAGAGTAAAGGCTTAGAGGTTACAAAGGGTGGTGGTGTTTGGGTAATAACTATTATACTAACAGAGTTTAACTGGAGCACTGTAGGTACGAAACAGACAAGCAAAGTGAATGCCAGAAGGGGGAATCTGTCTAGAAACGTATCCTCTTCTTCTGTTACAACCACCAAATCAGGCAGATCTTCTTCTGTCATACCCGCCCAATCAGACATTCTAGGACAGGAACAGTGGCTTTGACCAAGCCAAAGATCATCGCCTTTCAATGTGTCATTAGGAAGGCTGGGGACTGCCCCCCTGGGTTCCAGGCCATCTGGGCCGCCGTGAGGCTCCTGCCCACTACAGATGCATTTGCTTTTCCATTGAGCTATTGCCAAAGTCCCAGAGGGATTCTCATTCAAAGGTTTTCCAAAGAATTGCTTTTAATACACTATTACATTATAATTTAAATAGCCTCTTGTAGGGTAAATGCACATGACAGCAATAACTGAAGCATACTTTTAGAATGACCCTGTATGGCAGATGCACCTGAATCTGTATTCCAAGCTAGGGAATTAGGGAGTGGCCAACCTGGACATTAGTTCCCTGTCTATGAGAAACACAGGAGCCCCCAAGCCCCATTCTGTGGAACACAGACCATAACAGAGAATTGAGGCCTTGAGTTTTCAGCTTGATGAAGGTTAAAGGGGGAGATCGTTAGCGGGAGTGTTCTGTGAAAATGCTGTATGAACTGCATGCTGTTTGCAAGCACTGTGGTTTTCCTACCCAGCCCGCCACCACTGGGTCAAGTGGATATGTTGTCTGGTCCACCACCACTGGACTATTTCTGTATGTAAGGTGGGGTTCTCCTATCTAGCCGCCACCACTGAACTCTCTCCCCTGTATGTAATCCCCTCATAAAACCCCATGTCTCATTTGCTGGTTCTAGGTCTCTTCTTCAGCCTCTTGAACCTGATGCCTTTCCTGTTGAGGTTAATAGTTGTTTAACACAACATCTCTCCAGGAAAAAAAAAAAAAAAATTAAACTTTTTCATCAGCCAAATTTCAAATTTCTACAAAGTATCTTTTAGTATTTGCTATCATAATTTTCTCATAGAATATTTTGATTATCTATTTTTCTAAATGTACTCTTTTGTAAAGATCTCCGTAATTTAACTGAACAAAAGCTGTTTAATTCACTGTGAATGGATATTCTTTTTATTCAGTGCCCTCCTTTTAATTTTACATTTCTACCAACTTCAGCCCAAATCCACTGACTTGGAAAACCATGTTCCACCTTTTATTTACAAGGCAGTGGGGAGGAGGGAGTCAAACTCTCTTCCCTTCCTGATAATTAGTGGTCTAATTAGCAACCAATCAGTGTTCTGTGTTTTTCCTAAATATCTGACCATTTTTTAAGTCACAGCCATATTTATTATATGAAGAGGTCATGTTTGTATAATTTTAGGCTTTGGTACATTCACAATTGCATAAGTATACCCCGAAACGAACCTTTTCCATCCTAAACTTCTGAACACAAACCACCCAGTGACCATTTCAGACCATTGCATAGTGATGCTGCCAGCTGGCTAACAGTTCAGTTCCAGCAGTGACACCTTCTTTGCCTGTGTCACAGTATCTTTTGTGGGCAATTTTTTGGCTATTTTATTTTGTCCTTTTTTTGTAAAGCCAAAATGAGACAAAAATAAATTCATATGCTAAAATTAATGATAATAAATGAAGATCTCATCAAAATCATACAAGAGAGACAAAGAAGCAAATTCTTAGCTCTCCCAAAAGTGGAAACTCCTAACTTTCAATCAAGACATGATGGAACTTAAACTTGTCAATCATGTATTTAATGGGAAAGAAAAAAATTAAAGAATGTATATGAAATGAGACAAATATATCAATGAATAGGATATCTAAAAGGAGTAATTAGGATTTTAGAATACATTTTTAGCTCTCTAGCACTAGCTATCCATCCCACCCCATGGCACCTTGAAATTTTCAAGTCCATTGATCATCTTTTATGCATTCATCTTTCATGCACATTTTCAAGAATGCGTTATGCCTGGAAATTGGCAAACACGCTAATTCAGAGATAATCTTATTTCAACATGGCAGTATAGGCAGATATTCAAATAAGGACATTATTTATAAGAAAACATATAAAGCTCATGGCTAGTTACCAGAAAACAAAAGCTATCATTATTTGAAATTTAGAGCAGATTCATTAATCTCTGCGAAAGAAAACAGAATTTCATAACTGGAGGAAAAATAAGACATATGAATCATGCCTCCATATAATGCAGTTCTATAAAAACCTGAAATAAGCAAGAAAAAAACGAGGACCTAGAGAAAGAAAGTCAAATGTGAGTGAATGATTAAATACATATGCACTCAAGAGGGACACTAATCTATTCAAAACATGAAGCAGGTAGCAGAAAGATTGGACCAGGTTTGGTCTGATGACAGAGTTGTTCAGCTTCCAGCATTCCATGCCAACATTACAGAATTTGCTCTCCTGTTGGAAATCTCCCTCATTTTTCACCAAGGAAGAATCAAGGGCTTTTAATTAATTGTGCAAGTGAAGGGAATAACCTGTTGCTGTTCAAATTCTCTGACTTTACAGACAGGTTCACCATTGGGACTAAGAAACCTATGAGATGATAAATTGGTCATTAATTTTATGTTTTCACATCCAGTTATTCCTACCAGACTCTTTACTCCTAGTACTTAGGAAGAAGTTTCCAAACCCCATCATCAGAAATGTGTGGAACCTTCTAAACTGCCCCCAAAATAGAGAGTTCAACTTCTTAAACTTAACTGAAAACACAGAAAGACTCTACCAATTCTCTGGCTCACGCCTGTAATCCCAGCACTTTGGGAGGCCAAGGCGGGTGGATCACTTGAGGTCAGGAGCTCAAGACCAGCTTGGCCAACATGGTGAAACCTTGTCTCTACTAAAACTATGAAAATTAGCTGAGAGTGGTGGCACACACCTGTAATCCCAGCTACTTGGGAGGCTAAAAGAAGAAAATCAATCGAACCTGGGAGGCGGAGGTTCCAGTGAGCCAAGATCATGCCATTACACTCTAGCCTGGACAACAAGAGTAAAACCCTGTCAAAAAAAGAAAAAGAAAGAAAGAAAGAAAGAGAGAGAGAAAAAGAAAGAAAGAAAGAAAGAAAGAAAGAAAGAAAGAAAGAGAAAGAAAGAAAGAAAGAAAGAAAGAAAGAACAAATGAACGAACTGATATTTTCACTTGGAAAGTATTACAGAAGAGTACTTTGGCTGAATTCAAATGTAATTCCAGATTTTTTTTTTTTTTGTTTTTTTTTTTGAGACTGAGTCTCGGTCTGTTGCCCAGGCTGGAGTGCAGTGGCGTGATCTTGGCTCACTGCAACTTCCATCTCCCAGGTTCAAGCAACTCTTCTGCCTCAGCCTCCTGAGTAGCTGGGATTACAGGTGTGTGCCACCACACCCAGCTAATTTTTGTATTTTAGTAGAGATGGGGTTTCACCATGTTGGTCAGGCTGGTCTCAAACTCCTGCCCTCGTGATCTGCCCACCTTGGCCTCCCAAAGTGCTGGGATTACAGGTGTGAGCTACCACACCTGGCCTAATTAGAGAAATTTGTAAAGAAAATGTTAACTTTCAATTGTACCTATTTATAGAGAAATTAATTATGAAAATAAATAAGAACAAGATGGGTAAAAACAGGACTTTATACCTTCTCCAAAAGATGTACCTTAGCCTTGGAATTGGGATTATTTTCAGCTCCCAATGCCAGACTCTGAGCCAGTTTTTTCTTAGGGGTTGGCTAGGAAAGGCTTCTTAGGTGCCAAGTTTCTTGGGCCAAATATCAGCATGAGAACATCCCTATGTGTTGGTAATCTCTAGCTAATTTACCAGCAGCCAGAGACTCCATGTTCAGTCAAAATGGCTCATGTCTGTTCCCAACCAACAGAGAGCCATAAACTTACTATCTTCTCTATCTACAGGCAGGTCTTCAATATAAAGTTCTACATGAGTAACCATGACCCACATCTGCAGAAAGTCGACTGGTCCCTAGTTCAAAAAAAGGTTTGGGTTTATTCCACACTTCAGCATATGTCTGTCTGACTGCACAGTGGGACAGAAATCTTGCCAAATAACCTGGCACTCTTCACTCTGGCTTTCAGAAGACCAAAAACCATACAGCCATGGTAACTAAACTGCCAAGACAATAAATTGATAAATCTCCCAATTTCTTAACTCAGGATGAAAGTGGACTTGGATAATTTCTCAATCTTCAGTAATTCAGTATCACATGTTTGTTTACAAATATATAGAGGGAAAGGAGTGAAAAACTTTAAAATCTCACAGGTGATGGTGTAGAAACTACCCACCCATAGGCTATATGACAGTTGTTCTTAAGGTAGTTTAAATATATCATAGTGATAAAGAGTGTTTTTATTTTGTTTAAATCCAGAGCTAACCACCAAAATTTCAGTTTCTCTCTCAATTTCTCCCTCTCACTTTTCATATATTTGTACACAGTGCCTAGAACAATACTCAATAAATATTAATATGTATTAAATGAACAAAAAACCAAATGTTAATCTCTAGAAAGAGCTCAAGGCTCTCTCCCCCATTCTCCTACACCCACTCCTAAGGAGAACATATATGGTGGGTATGATGGTGGCAAGGACAATATTGGGTCACATTTTTGGTGTGATAAAGGTTAAAGATCTGGGGCCCATAGCATTTCCTTTGGATTTGATCACTGGAATCCTGACTTCCTTTTGAATTCTCTCTCCTGTACTCCACTCCCCCAACTCCTACCCTACCCACAGCAGGGGGAAATGCCACTGTCACTCTCCTTCTCCTTTTCCTCCTTTCCTTCATTGCCTCCACATCCCCTCTATAGAAAGGCAAGCAGAAACCAGGTGTATTAGTCCATCTTCATGCTGCTGATAAACACATACCCTAAACTGGGCAATTTACAAAAGAAAGAGGTTTAATTGACTTACAGTACCATGTGGCTGAGGAGGCCTCTCAATCATGGCAGAAAGTGAAAGGTACATCTCACACAGCAGCAGACAAGAGAAGAGAGAGAGCTCATGTAGGGGAACTCCCATTTTTAAAACCATCAGATCTCAGCAGACTTATTCATTGTCATGAGAACAGCAAGGGAACGACCTGTCCCCATGATTCAGTTACCTCCCACCAGGTGCCTCCCACAACACATGGGAATTCAAAATGAGATTTGGGTGGGGACACAGCCAAATCATATCATTCTGCCCCTGGCCCCTCCCAAATCTCATGTCCTCGCATTTCAAAACCAATCATGCCTTCCTAACAGTCCCCCAAAATCTTAACTCATTTCAGCATTAACTCAAAAGTCCATAGTCCAAAGTCTCATCTGAGACAAGGCAAGTCCCTTCCGCCTATGAGCCTGTAAAATCAAAAGCAAATTAGTTACTTCCTGGATACAATGGGGGGTACAAGCATTGGGTAAATACAGCCATTCCAAATGGGAGAAATTAGCCAAAACAAAGGGGCTACAGGCCCCATGCAAGCCCAAAAATCCAGTGGGGCAGTCAAATCTTAAAGCTCCAAAATGATCTCCTTTGACTCCATGTCTCACATCCAAGTCACTCTGATCTAAAAGGTGGGCTCCCACGGCCTTGGGCAGCTCCTCCCCCACGGCTTTGCAGGGTATAGCTGCCCTCCTGGCTGCCTTCCTAAGCTGGTGTTGAGTGTCTGCCACTTTTCCAGGTGCATGGTGCAAGCATGGTGGATCCACCATTCTGGGACCTGGAGGATGGCAGCCCTCTTCTCACAGCTCCACTAGGCAGTGCCCTAGTAGGGACTCCCTGTGGGGTCTCCAACCCCACATTTCCCTTTTGCATTGCCCTAGCAGAGGTTCTCCATGAGGGCCCTGCCCCTGCAGCAAACTTCTGCCTGGGCATCCATGCATTTCCATACATCCTCTGAAATCTAGGCAGAGGTTCCCAAACCTCAATTCTTGACTTCTGGGCACCCACAGGCTCAACATCACATGGAAGCTGCCAAGGCTCAGGGCTTCCACCCTCTGAAGCAATAGCCCAAGCTGTACCTTGGTCCCTTTTAGTCACAGCTGGAATGGCTGAGATGCAGGGCACCAAGTCCCTAGACTGCACACAGCAGAGCCTGGGCCTGGCCCTCAAAACCATTTTTTCCTCCTAAACCTCTGGGCCTGTGAAGGGAGGGGTTGCCACAAAGGTCTCTGACATGCCCTGGAGACATTTTCTCCATTGTCTTGGTGATCAACATTTGGCTCCTCATTAGTTATGCAAGTTTCTACAGCCAGCTTGAATTTCTCCTCAAAAAATGAGATTTTCTTTTCTATCGCATTGTCAGGCTGCAATTTTTCAAACTTTTATGCTCTCTTTCCCTTTTAAAATGGAATGCCTGTAACAGCACCCAAGTCACCCTTGAATGCTTTGCTGCTTAGAAATTTATTCCACCAGATACCCTAAATCATCTCTCTCAAGTTCAAAGGTCCACAAATCTCTAGGGAAGGGGCAAAGTGCTGCCTGTCTCTTTGCTAAAACATAACAAGAGTCACCTTTGCTCCAGTTCCCAACAAGTTCTTCATCTCTATCTGAGATCACCTCAGCCTGAATTTCATTGTCCATATCATTATCAGCTTTTTGGTCAAAGCCATTCGACAAGTCTCTAGGAAGTTCCAAACTGTCCCACATTTTCCTGTCTTCTTCCGAGCCCTCCAAACTGTTCTAACGTCTGCCTGTTACTCAGTTCCAAAGTTGCTTACACATTTTTGAGTATCTTTTCAACAGCACTCCCAGTACCAATTTATTGTATTAGTCTGTTGTCATGCTGCTGATAAAGACATACCCAAGACTGGGTAATTTACAAAATAAAGAGGTTTAATGGACTTACAGTTCCACGTGGCTGAGGAGGCCTCAAATCATGGCAGAAGGTGAAAGGCACATCTCACATGGGGGCAGACAAGAGAAGAAAGAGAGCTTGTGCAGGGAAACTCCCGTTGGTTTTTGCTGTTGTTGTTGTTGATTTTTTTTTTTTTTTTTTTTGAGACAGAGTCTCACTCTGTTGCCAGGCTGAAGTGCAGTGGTGCAATCCTGGCTCACTGCAACCTCTGCCTCCTGGGTTCAAGTGATTCTCCTGCCTCAGCCTCCCGAGTAGCTGGGACTACAGATGCATACCACCACACCCAGCTAAACTTTGTATTTTTAGTAGAGACAGGGTTTCACCATGTTGGCCAGGATGGTCTCGATCTTTTGACCTTGTGATCCACCTGCCTCAGCCTCCCAAGTGCTGGGATTATAGGCATGAGCCACCACACCTGGCTGAAACTCGTGTTTTTTAAACCATCAGATCACGTGAGACTTATTCACTATCACAAGAATAGCACAGGAAAGACCCACCCCCATGATTCAATTATCTCCCACCAGGTCCCTCCCACAACACATGGGAATTCAGGATGAGATTTGGGTAGAGACAGAGCCAAACCATATCACTAGGGCTAGCCACAGGATAAATAAGGCCTGTAGAAACAGCTTTAGTCCTTCTGTGTTAGGCTAGAGACATGTCCTCCTTTTCCTTTAGCCATCTTGTCTTGCTTCCTGTGACCACAGGATGAACCCAACAGAACAGAATGAAACTCAAGGAAAAAGACTAAGGAAGCAGTTCAGTCTGAGCCTCAGAGCTACCTTGAGGAAAGGTGTCATACATGGGAGCATCCAGGAGACCTAGTCACAAATCACAGGATGGTATGTGACCAAAAACCCCAATAGTGATAAAGAGAATAGATTTGTCTGGCCTTGCCTTTTGTACATACATCTCTTTAGAAAAAAGCTTAATTTTTGGTAAATGGCTGGTTAAAGGTTTAGAGCTTGATCATGGTAAAAATCATCTTGAAATAACACATAAATAAATAGATCAGCAAGAACTGCCTTCAATAAATGAAATTAATCCATAACCTCCCCCAAAGACTTCAGAGTGGTAAATACAATATAATATCTATAGGGCATCACTGTAAAACTACACAGGGTGAAATGTGGGAGAGGGAAGGATTCAGTCCCTCTCAAAGGCCTGAGAATAAGGCAATAACACATACAACTTCTGAAGAAGCAATAGCATAAAATTCATTGACATCCTCAGTAGAATGACAAAGACATATCCAAGTCACCTACAAGTAGGGGCAGAGCCTAAAGACTGTCCTCAAAGGCCTCAACCTCATCTATAGCTATAGCCCCTTCCAGACCTGCCTTGGTCCATTATTACCCTTCTTTCTTGGGGACAAATTAATATTTATTAGAATAGCTAATCTCTAATATTTTTATTATATCCCTACTGGCAACTAACTTTGCATGTAAAGAAGCTTTATAGTTGCCAAATTATTTAATTCTATTCCATCTTTTAGAGAAGTCTAAGAAAAGTCAAAGCTTATAGAGCCCAGGAGTGGTTCCTTTCCATTACAGACTAAGTTATATGTAAAATTAGACAGGACAGTTGGAAAAGAAGACACTCAAACTCCTAATACTGTTCTCATGATGCACTTCATTATTATTTTATGTGAAAAGAATTCTGCAAACAGTAAAGTCATTTTCTTTCTTGCTTGCTTTCTTGCTTTTTTTTGACAGGGCCTTGCTCTGTCGCCCAGGCTGGAGTGCACTGGTGCAATCACTGCTCACTGCAACCTCTAACTCCTGGGTTCAAGTGATCCTCCTGCCTCAGCCTACCAAGTAGCTGGAACAGCCACATGCCACCATGCTAGGCTAATTTTTGTATTTTTTACAGAGATGGGGTCTCACTATTTTGCCCAGGCTAATCTCAAACTCCTGGGCTTAAGCAATCCTCCTGCCTTGTCTTCCTGAAGTGCTAGGATCATAGGCTCATGCCTGTAATCCTGGGTGTGGTACACCCAGCTCAAAGTCATTTTTAAATGTGATTATAAATGCTACAATGTATACAATTTTGCACCACCTTAATATGAATTTTTTATACTAGACTTTGTTATAACTCAGGACTGCTTTACTTCTAAAACCCTAAATTATTATAATAGTCTACTACCACAACCATCTACCCCTCCAGCTTTAGTATTCCATTTCTCCTAACTGTTCCTGTTCTGTGTTCTAAACTCCCAAATCCATATTTCCTTTCATAAACTTGCTACTACTCCAAACCCATACACAATCCTCTTAGATCTCTTCACCTGAATGATTTACAGACATACAAACTCAGTATGTCTAAATTAACTTCATATTTTTCTACAAACCCTGCCTTCTCCTTGAACCCCGTGCTTCACACAGACCAAACTATTGTCCACTGAATGGGTTCTTCTGAATCTCTCCTATGTATTTGCTAATATCTTTGCCTGAACTTACATCCCCACATTTCTACCCAATTCCTTCCCATTTCTCCTCCAGAAACATGCCCACTCAACACTTACTCATCTCTCAAGACACATTTCAATTATTACCTCTTACTACCTCTTCTTGATTACATTTCAAGCAATCCCTTCCACACCAAGGCAGACTGCCCACCTTTATTTTGAGTTCCCACTGATTTCTACATGTTCCAAAGACTTCTGCAATGAAGCAGAGATTATTACTATACCTATATGGGTTAAAAGACTTTAGAAAACCACAAGCCATTTTCAACTCCAAAAGAAATCTCAGGAACTCCTAGATCTACCATCATGTTAACCTCTTGAGTCACACTGCCCATCAACAGTAGACTGAGGTATGCATACAGTCTGCCAAGACCAGCTTGGTCGGGGAGACCCTAACCCAGTGGCACTAGAGGAATTAAAGACACACACACAGAAATATAGAGGTGTGAAGTGGGAAATCAGGGGTCTCACAGCCTTCTGAGCTGACAGCCCCAAACAGAGATCTACCCACGTATTTATTAACAGCAAGCCAGTCATTAACACTGTTTCTACACACATTAAATTAACTAAAAGTATCCCTTATGGGAAACAAAGGGATGGGCCGAATTAAAGGAATAGGTTGGGCTAGTTAACTGCAACAGGAACATAAGGCACAAATAGCTCAAGCTATTGTTTGTAGCTTAAGAATGCCTTTAAGCAGTTTTCCGCCCTGGGCAGGCCAGGTGTTCCTTGCCGTCATTCCCATAAACCCACAGTCTTCCAGCATGGGCGTTATGGCTATCATGAACATGTCACAGTGCTGCAGAGATTCTGTTTATGGCCAGTTTTGGGGCCAGTTTATGGCCAGATTTTGGGGGGCCTGCTCCCAACACAGTCTCTAATTTTGGTGAGGCCTAGGAAACATGAGAGTAAAGATAGTGGTAATGGGTTCAGATAAATAAGGTAGAGAGGTGAGAATTGGATTGGAAATACATCTCTGCAGCTATCCTTGCACAACAGTGACCCCCAAATTAATGTAATCACAACTTTCCCCCTTCCTCTACTTTGCCAGGGAAACAGGTCTTTGTGACTAGGAGAGTCACCAGGCCTGGGTCTTTTGTTGCATTGATTTGAGGTACAGGATGAGTTGAAGAACAAGAAGAATCACACAGCTAATGTAATCTGTACTAAGGGAAGAAGAAAGAACAGGAGGTAGGTGAGGAGAGGAAAGAAGAGATCCAGAGAAGACAGTGTGAGAGACAAGAGCCAACTGGGATGTTTTGTAGTGGAGGAGTCCTTTGAGGTGGATGTTTTGTGATTCCTCAGTGCCCTTCTTTGAGCAAGGCATGTGAGAAGTCCTCCTCAGTGTGTCACCTGAGATATCCTATTTCATTGAATCTAGGATGCCATTTCTCATAAGGGACATTATTATTTTATCTATTGATAAAATATAGAATTGAAAGAAAAAGAGATGGGGAAAAGATTTTTATTTCCTGCTTCGTACTGTATAAAAGAGACTATAGGCATTTTAAAGGAATTTTTAAGAAACTTGTTATTTTTTTATTGTTTTTAGCACTTTTTAATAGGATATTAGACAGGTGTTTGGGGCTTTTGTGTTTTTTGTTTGTTTTCAAGTGACTAAGTGCAGAGATTAACTTAAAGGCAGCTAAGTTTTACATAGTTATATTTAACTACCTAGAGCTTTCTTCAACATTAATAAATACAGATTTTTCAGATGCCTCTTCCCATCTCCCTTTCTGGTACCAAGTTGAAAAAAGCATTAGTGGGGACCCCAAATAATGATAATATCTAATATTTTTTAACACTTTGACTTAAGATTTTTAAAATGAATGAACTCATTTAATTTTTACAACAACTCTGTAAGAAGATAGAGTTTATTATCACTATTGAACATAGTGAGCTTAGTAATTGCCCAAGCTTATATAACCAATAAGTGGCAGAGCTGGGATTCACATGCAGTCATTCTGGATCTAGCATCCATGTTCTTAATTGCCATATTCTACTGCCTCACACTTTAAAAACACACCATGTTTTCCATAAAAGGAAGCCACTTATTACTCCTCCACATAAATAAAGTCAATTGCACTATGACTTTATGCCGTATACTTCAGTAAGCAGATATACACCCAAAAGCCTAGTATAATAAGAAAAACAACAACTTTTAAGCCAACTGATCATTGAAACATGCACAGATAAAAAGAATATTATCAGACAAAGTGAAGACTGGATTTCTTACAACTATAGTTGTTTTATCCTGGAAACTAAAGAGCAAGTAAATCAAGAAACACAGTTACAGTTATTTGGAGGAAAAAATAAAGACTAAAAGACACTGGTAAGAAAGTTGCAAAGATTGAAGATTCTCTTCATTTGACATCAAATTATGCAAATCATATGCAAACTATGCAAATCTGCATGAAGATAGGAAGAATCTGTGTTTGTTTTCTTTCATTAAGCCTTATGTAAACACAGCTCTGGGAGCAATTCCTTCCATTGGCTTGATGAGAAGAGAGGGTAATGTAAAGAGGACTTTGTTTTGCAACTTGGATACCAGCTCAGCCACAGTAGAAATAGGCACTAGAATAGGGTAGAGTTCTGTGGCCTCCATTCCAGGCCCTAGCTCTTGGACAATATTTCT
Organism: Homo sapiens; assembly: GCF_000001405.40. Classification (NCBI taxonomy): domain Eukaryota; kingdom Metazoa; phylum Chordata; class Mammalia; order Primates; family Hominidae; genus Homo; species Homo sapiens. The sequence goes on from NC_000004.12 coordinate 81,860,446, forward strand.
AGACACCCTGGCTCAGAAGGGAACCCACTGTCTTGAAGGCAAGGACTCAGTTCTGGCAGAATCCATTATCTGCTGACTAAAAAGCCCTTAAGTTCTAAATAGTCAGCGGTGGTAGGCATGGGACAGTACTCCTTATGGGCCTTGTTGGTAAGACTCAGAGCTGTGCTGGCTTCAGGTGTGTCCCAGCACACTCCCAGCTGTGATGGCTATGGGAGACGTCCCTTCACCTTGAGAAAAGAAGAAGGAAGAATAAAAGGGACTTTGTTTTGCAGCTTGGGAACCAGCTCAGCCACAGAGGAAGAGAGCACCAAGTGGGCTCCTGGGGTCCCTGATTCCAGTCCTTAGCTCCTGGACAGCATTTCTGGACCTGCCCTGGGCTAGAGGGGAACCCACTTCCCTGAAGGGAGAAACTCAGGACTGGTTCTCTGTTGGTTGGGAACAGACATGAGCCATTTTGACTGAATGTGGAGTCTCTGGACTACTGGTAAATTAGCTAGAGATTACCAACACATAGGGATGTCCCCATGCTGATATTCAGCCAGAGAAGCTTGGCACCTAAGAAGGAAAACTGACAAAGCTTTAGCCAGACTAGCAAAAAAAAAAAAAAAAAAAAAGAGAAACAATACAAAAATATAAAATCAGAGATGAAAACAGAAATATTACAACTGAAACCATAGAAATTCAAAGGATCATTAGAAGCTACTATGAGCAACTACATGCCAATAAAGTGGAAAACCTACAAGAAACATGAATTCCTAGACACATACAAACTGCTAAGATTGAACCATGAATAAATCCAAAACCTGAATAGACCAATAACAAGTAATAGACCAATATCAAAGCTGTAATAAAAAGTCTCCCAGCAAAGAAAAGTCTGGGACCCAATGACTTCATGGCTGAATGTTAGCAAACATTTAAAGAACCGACGCCAATCCTACTCAAACTATTCCAGAAAAAATAGAGTAGGAGGGAATACTCCCAAACTCGTTCTACAAGGCTAGTATTACCCTGATTAAAAAAAAAAAAATCAAAAAAAGAAAACTACAGGCCAATATCCCTGCTGAACACTGATGCAAAAAATCCTCGACAAAACACTAGCCAACAGAATTCAGTAACACATTAGAAAGATTATTCACTATGATCAAGTGGGATTTATCCCAAGGATGCAAAGATGGTTCAACATATGCAAATCAATGTGATATATCATATTGACAGAATAAAGGACAAAAACATTCATTTCAATTGATGCTGAAAAAGCATTTGATAAAATTCAACACCGCTTCCTGATAAAAAACCCTCAAAAAACTGAGTATAGAAGGAACGTACTTTAACACAATAAAAGTCATATATTACAGACCCTCTAACTAGTATCATACTGAATGGGGAAAAACTGAAAGCCCTTCCTCTAAGATCTGGAACAAGACAAGGATCCTCACTTGCATCACTGTTATTCCACACAGCTGTGAAAGCCCTGGCTAAAGCAGTCAGACAAGAAAAAGAAATAAAGTGCATTTAAATTGAAAAGGAAGAGGTCAAACTATCCTTCTTTGCAGATGAAAAATATTATATTTTGAAAAAAACTAAAGATTCCACCAAAAACTATTATACCAGGTAAAAAAAAAAAATTAGTAAAATTACAGGATACAAAATCAATGTACAAAAATCCGTAGCATTTCTATATGCCAGCAGCAAATAATCTGAAAAATAAACCAAGAAAGTAATTCCATTTACAATAGCTGTAAGTAAAATAAAATACCTAGGAATAAACTTAAAGAAGTGACAGGTCTCTACAATAAAAACCATAAAACATTGATAAAAGAAATTGAAGAGGACATACCAAATAAAGGGAAAGATATTCCATGTTCATGGATTGGAAGAAACAATATTATTAAAATGTCCATACTACCCAAAGCAATCTACAGATTCAGTGCAATTGCTATCAAAATACCAATGACATTTTTTAAGTAAATAGAAGAACGATCCTAAAATTTATATGAAACCACAAACACTCACAATAATCAAAACTATCCTGAGCAAAAAGAACAAAACTGGAGGAACCACATTACCTGACTTCAAATTATACTACAGAACTACAGTAACAAAACAGCATGGTACTGGGTGGCATAAAAACAGACATGTAGACCAATGAAACAGAATACAGAACCCAGAAATAAATCCATACATTTACAGTTGACTTATTTTGGACAAAGGTGCCAAGAACATACATTGGAAAAAGGACAGTGTCTTTAATAAATGATACAGGGAAAACTGGATATCCATATGTAGAATGAAACTAGACCCAATATCTCTCGCCATATATAAAAATCAAATCAAAATGGATTAAAGATTTAAATCTAAGACCTCAAACTATGAAGCAACTACAAGAAAACATTGGGGAAACTCTCCAGGACATTGGTCTGGGCAAAGATTTCTTGAGTAATACACCATAAGCACAGGCAACCAAAGCACAAATAGACAAATGGAATTATATCAAGTTAAAAAGCTTCTGTACAGCAAAGGAAACAATAAATAAAGAGACAACCCACAGAATGGGAGAGAATATGTGTAAACCATCCATCTGACAAGGGATTAATAACCAGAATATATAAAGAGCTCAAACAACTCCATAGAAAAAAAAATCTAATAATCCAATTTTTTTAATGGACAAAAGACCCGAATAAACATTTCTCAAAAGAAGACACATGAATGGTCAACAGGTACCTGAAAAAATGCTCAACATCATTAATCATCAGACAAATGCAAATCAAAACTACAATTACGTATCATCTCACCCTAGTTAAAATGTCTTTTATCCAAAAGACAGGATATAATGAATGCTGGTGAGAATGTGGAGAAAAGGGAATCCTTGTACACTGTTGGTGGGAATGTAAATTAGTAAAAGCACTATGGAAAAGAGTTTGGAGTTTACTCAAAAACTAAAAATAGAGCTATCTCATATGATCCAGCAATCCCACTGCTAGGTATACATCCAAAAGAAATCAGTATATGGAAGAGATATCTGCACTCCCATGTTTATTGTAGCACTATTTACAATAGCAAGATTTGGAAGCAACCTAAGTATTCATCAACAGAAGAATGGATAAAGAAAATGTGATATATATACACAATGGAGTACTGCTTAGCCATAAAAAAAAATAAGATCCTGTCATTTGCAACAACATGGATGGACCTGGAGGACATTATGTTAAGTGAAATAATCCAGGCACAGAAAGACAAACTTCACATATTCTCACTCATCCATGGGAGGCAAAAATGAAAACAACTGAACTCATGGACGTAGAGAGTGGAAGGATAGTTACCAGAGGCTGGGAAGGATAATGGGAGCTGGGCAGGGGAAGTGAAGGTGGTTAATGGGTATGAAAATAGTTAGATAGAATGAATAAGATATGCTATTTGATAGCACAATAGGGTGACTACAGTAAATAACTTATCGTACATTTAAAACTAACTAAAAGAGTATAATTGGATTGTCTGTAATACAAGGAAAGGAGAAATGCTTGAGGTGATGGACACCCCATTTACCCTGATGTGATTATTACACATTGTATGCCTGCATCAAAATATCTCATGTACCACATAAATATGTACACCTATGTACCCATAAAAATTAAAAATAAATTTTAAAAAAGAAAATTTTGTAATCCTTTCATCACAATGGTAATTTAAAAATGGTTTTTATGTGCCTTCTAGGACTCTCTACTTCCAGATCTCCAGCCCTTATACAATATGCCATTGCTCCTTTGCATTGGTGCTAAAAGCCAAAAGTATTATTTACATCAAAAGTTATGTATGTTACATCAGAATTGGTATCATTAAATTCAAAAGACTCAATCGGACCATGAGTACACCCTAATCCATGTGCCAATGAAAGTGATTTATAACAAACTCTAATGCTCAGGATAAAAAATTCCCAAGTATTTGATTATCTGAGGTAATTTGCATTGGCTAACTACTTAGGAACAACTATTTTGACCCTACATTATTCTCACTTCAGATGAAAACCATTATAGAAAAAAGCCCACTCTTCAACCTATTCTGGTAACATAGAACAGCTATTTCATTGCCATTTCTGTTGAGTCTATAATCCTCGAGATAAATGAAAAAGAATTCCAATTCCTCAAACTAAGTAGAAAAGTAGATGCATAGAAAATATGGTAAGCATGGAGAAAGCCAATTAAAAGGGCCTAAAAAGATTTCTGCTAGTTATCTCTTTAGAAAGAAAATCCACTAAGGATAATGGAGCTGCATAGATAAATAAAATATGATTTCTGCCTTAAATCTCCTCAGACTTTTAAACTTTCAGTTGGAATCCAAGATATGAAATTTTAGATTTATCAAAGCATATATAGTATCAGTGGGGGGTGGAGAGGGAGATCCTTAAAAAAGGCCCAGCAATTCTTTATTAATCAGAGTAAATAAACTATCCTATTCTCAGTGAATATAATATGTCCTATCCTTTATTGACAGGAGAAAATCCTGCTTGCCACTCAAGCTCTTTTAAAAAATATGATGGAGAAGTAAACTGAATCTACTGGGTGACATCTATAAAATATTAGCATTGTAAGAGACTACAGAGAATTTGTTCAACTGCCTCATTGGTCAGATAAGGAAACAAGAGGAATAAGACCCAGAGAAGTTATTTTTGTCACAGTTACGTAGTGACAATGGAATAAGGACCAAACCTGATACCAATTTTTTACTTATTATGCCAAATAATTTTCACCTAAGGACTTCAATTATTTATGCTTTCCTAGACCCAACTTAAAAATAATTGGCTACTGACCACATATTCCCATTCCCTTAAAATTAGCAAGTAATATCTGATCATAGATTACTTCCAGAGCAATCTTCCCCAATATATTGATAATCATGTCACTTCTCTGCTTTAAAAATCATTTTATTCCCAGTGGATAAATTCCAACATAGGTTCTTTCATGACATAATCACTCAGCCTAGACTTCCACATCTTCCACTTCATACCTTATATTCCAGGAACGCCAAACTGCTTGTAGTTTCCAAAATGAGAAAGATTGTTTGACCCTGCCTTGCTTTGCACAGGTTCCTCCCTCCACCTGACAAACTATTCTCCCACTTGTTTTCAGGAAGAACTTCTATTCATCCCTTAAAGCACATCTCCCAAAGACTACCCATTCTACCTTTCAGGATGAAATTAATCACAGCTTCCCTTGTACTTCCAACATTGCTCTGCTGTTAAACGAATCACATCACTCAGCAATTATCTCTATCTCCATCTACTGGACTGTGACTCTTTAAGGGGATAGTCTATAGCTTTGCATCTCTACATTTCCAGCTTTGACTACATAAGACATATTTAATAAATATTTGTTGAATTAAATGAGTGGGGTGGGGGCTAAAATAAGTGCAATTGTTTCTGTCTCCTTTTGTTTATAAGAGAGAGATCTGTTCAAAATACAGTTGACAACAATCAAGGAAATGTGGTAAAGCTGAAGATTACCACTTGCAATTATTACTTGTTTTGAATTAGCAGAAAAATGTTTGAAACCTGATTTTGGAAAAGGAGCTACAGCACGGAGAACAATTCATACTCAATGTGCATTGATTTCAGCAGGATTTTTGAAAGAGAAGCTTTCTTGGAACAGGTGACCTTTATTACCACTTTGCTTTAATTGCAAATACTTATAGTACTTTATGCCTATTAATTTGTCAGCCCTGCCAGGAGCAAAGCCAAGAAACCACAACAAAAGAAAAATAAACCTTTAAATGCAGGCAATAAAGAACTGGCTCTAAGTAACAATTACCTTGGGTAATGCAGAAACACTAAGTAGCCAGCACAATTCACTAAATAAATTTCATTCTTAATTATAGAAAATAAGGATGGCAAAATAAAAACTTCATCATTCATTGTAATTTGTAGGAATCCAAAGGGAAGTATAGATTGCTTCATTTTATTTTATTGAGTAGAACAGTTCAGCTTCACCTAGGCAATCACACCCGGCAGAAAGGACCTTGCCTGTTTGTTCGTAGCAATATATGTGCAACCAAGGGGCAGAGGATCCAGACATAAACTGCCAAGAAATTTCTCTCCAGTCATTCTAGAGGTCATTTCAATGATAGCAAGTCGATGCAACTGAAGAATTATTTGGCTAGTGTCTAATTCTTCCAGAAAATTGACTGGATGCAAACTTGGCATCAATAAAATATTTGGAGTTTCCATAAGGCTTTGATGTTGCAGTATGGCAGAAGATAAATATTCAAAGAATACAACTATTACCCTGGAAGTCAAAGTTCATGTGAGTTCCTGACCCTGGTGTTTCAAATCCACTGACTGGCCATGAAATCAAGTACCTACTCCTGGAGGCAGAGAAAAGGGAGATGATAAAGGCAATGTTTAATCCTATCTGTCTTAGTCTGTGCTGCTATAATAAAAAATACCTGAGACTGGGTATTTTATAAACAACACAAATTAATCTCTCATAGTATGGAGGCTGGGAAGTCTAAGGTCCAAGGCACTGGCAGGTTTAGTGTCTGGTGAGGGCCCAGTCCTTGCTTCCAAGATGGCGCCTTGAATACTTTATCCTCACATAGCAGAAGTGGTGGAAAGACAAAAAAGAGTTTCACCTAGGTCTCTCCAATCCTTTTATCAAGTGCTAATCCCATCCATGAGTTGGAGCCCTCAATGCCCTAATCACCTCCTAAAGGTCTCGCCTCATAATACTGTTGCATTGAGGATTAATGTGAATTTTGGAGTGAATACAAACATTAAAACCATAGCACCAGCCAGTTAAACAGTTCAGGAATGAAAGAAGAGATTCCCTAAAGAAAAATTGGATGCTATTAAAATAAAAGAGAAGGGGGGAATGGGTTGGGCATTGTGGCTCACGCCTGTAATCCCAGCACTCTGGGAGGCCGAGGCAAGCAGACTGCTTGAGCTCAGGAGTTCAAGAATGGAGGAACGGACACAGGGCAGGTAAGAATACAAGGTGTACATTTCAGATGTAAGAAAGTTAAGAACTGCTAAATGTAGGCCAGAGAATAAAGATACAACAACATACTCAAGTACTTCAACTCTGCCAAAATAATTTGTAGATTTATCCCATGAGTGTCAGGAAAACAGAACTAGGACCAAAGGTAGAATATCAAAGAAGCAGCTTCAACTTAAAATAAGGAAGAACTTTATCACAAAAGGAGATGTTTAAAAATAAGTAGGTTGCCCTGGCAGGGAGTCGGGTCCCCATGACTGAAAGAGACAAGCAGAGATTCTTCTTCTGACACTTCTGCCTAGGGCCCACCTCTCTCATTTTAAGAGGAAACTTTTGCTCTGCCTTCTCTTCTTACCCTTAGATGCTCCACCCTATGGGAGGGGGAGAAATTCCATGTCATGTTTAGACAAGGTTCTCTTGAGGCTCCCTCCCTTTCAGAGCTGCCTGAACACAGATCACATCCATTCTCCCCCATTTCTGTCTCCTCTTTGTGGGAATGCATCCCAGGACAGATCCTGGCCTTACAGGGGTAGAAAGACTTGTCATTATTTAGCTGTATAGTCTACATCTAAGTGAGTGGGTTCAATCCAGGGTATAAGAAAGCAGAAACCCACTTTGAACATAAGATTCTGAATCAACTTTGCCTGCATTATAGTCAATGTTTGAGTCTTATCTAACTTTTCTATGTATACCTCAAGTGGATCACAATTTAAAAGGAAGAGAGAGAGTGATTAATTGGCTTCCTTAGGCTCTTAACATTTCTTAGAAGGGATTCCAATATGGAATCCAAACAGCATGTTTGGAATGGGAATGTTGTTTGGATAGTCCACTAGCATTCTTCCCAATCTATGATACAAGTTAGATAAAGCAACAAAGGTCACTGACAATAGTTGGTAATTATCAGCACATATTTATACTTCAGAAATAATCTGAGACTTTCACTTGATGGCAGGCCACTAGAAAATCTAGCACCCTGCTTGTATTAAGAACTGACACTGATTGCCTCAGGTAGCACGGTCTAATGGAATTCACTGTCCCTAAAAGCAGAAAACCTGACTTCTACTTCACCAAATAATCATATGGCATTTACCAATTAACCTCTCTGATCCAGTTACTCCTTGTATAAAATAAAATAACAATGATAAGATTTGGCCACAATGTTGGAAAATTTCTTAGTATTTATAAAGTACTCATAATACGCTAAATGTTAAAAAGAACTTTTAACTTTCAAAAGTAGACAGGTCGTTATATAAAAAAAATGGCATGCTACATTCTCAGACAAAAATTAGTAGAAAATATGGGAAAATGCAAGCAATGGGCCTAGGATATTCAAAGCATTCTTGGAAAAGAACAAAGCTAGAGGACTTACACTACCTGAATTCAAAACTAACTATTAAGCTATAGTAACTAAGATAATGTGTCGCTAGTATAATAATCAACAAACAAATCAATACAACAGAGTAGGGAGACAAAAAATAGAACCATGAGTTTAGTTTTTGACAAAGATAATCTAACGGGGGCAGAAAAGTCACAACAAATGTTGCTACGAAAACTGGTCATCCATATGCCAGAAAATGAACTTTGACCTCTACTTCACACCAAATACAAGTATTAATTTGAAATGAATTATACACTAATCATAAAAGTTAAATAATGAGGCTTTTAGAAGAAAAGGTAGGAGAATATCTTCAGTACTTGGAGATAGACAAATGTTTCTTAGACAAACCTTCCCAATAAAAAATGGGCAAGATTTCAACAGATCTTTTCACTATAGAAGAGCTGTGAATGGCCAATAAGCACATAAAAAAGTGTTCAACATAGTAACCATAGAAATCCAAATTTTAAATTTACTAACATCTACCAAGACAGCTAAAATGAAAAGAACTGACAGAACCAAGTGTTGACAAGAATATAGGGCAACTGGAATGCTCACATACTGCCAATGGGAATATAAAATAGTACAAGCAGTGGTGTGCAGAATCCACCTGGCTCTCAAGATAAAATTACTTACATCTCTTCCCATCTCAGCCCTCCAATGACTCCACATTGGAAGCTTGAAATTGGCCATGGTGGGAGTTACATGATGGAATTGGCAATTTAGCATCTGGTATTGGTGGTGGTGATAATCATTGCCATCATTGCCTCCTCCTCCTCCTTCTTGGTCTTCTTCTTTTGGGGGGAGTCTGTTGATAAGCATTTACCAACACACCACTGGATACAGCCACTTTGGGACAATTTATGATTATTTCTTATAAAACTACTTACTCTCCGGTCCAGGATTTCTGCAGAAAGAATTTTGCAAGAATGTTCATAGCAGCTTTATTCATAATAGCCCACATTTGAAAAGAGCCCAGGTGTCCATCAACAGGAGAATGGTAAAACATACCATGGGACAGTTATGCATGAAGTAGTTTTCAGCCATAAAATCAAATATAGTGCTGAATACTCACTAATAAGGATGAATCTTAAAAACATGCTGAATAAAACAAGCTGCACAGAGTATATAGTATATGATTACATTTATATGAAGTCATAGAGCAAGCAAAACTAACCTAAAAAAAAAAAACAGAATAGTAGCTGCCTCTGTGGGTGAAGAGTGGGGTGGGATTGACTGAGAAGGAGCATAAGAGTATCTAGGGGTAATGATAAAGTTCTGTAACTGTTAGGAACTGTGTGTTTTTATCTCCCCAGCATTCATATGTTGAAATCTAATCCCCAATGTGATGTATGAATCCTGAAATGGCCAGTTCTTCATGATGAACCCTGAGTGGCTAACTAGGCCTAAATTCAAAATGGAAGCAAGTGGCCACCTGCTGACTAGATGTCACACACACACTCTGCATTCCTGAGAAAACCACACACTTGTGTAACTTAGAGACTTCCATAGCTGTGTGTTCCTGTTTATGCCACCTGAACAAACTGATGACAGTGGTGGCCCATCTGGAGCAGCTGCTGTGGGGATGCCAGCTGCAGTGGGGGAGGGAGGTACAGCCAGGGCCGTTCACTCCATGGAGCTGGCAGGGCCCGGGAACATGCAGGAGCCCCACTATTTACTGAGTTGGTGGGGTGGGAGCCCCATACTCCTGGGTGCAGCTGCAGCTGCCCAGCCGCAGCTGCAGACCTGGGCACCCCTGCTCTCGGGGGGTGCCCAGGAAGCCCCTGGCTCCCGCAGGCTCAGAGGTGCCTGCTCCCACTCCCTGGCCTCTCCCTGCTCCCAGCACCCATTCTGGTGTGGAGCAAGGTTGTGGCCAGGACCAAGCACTGTCACAAACCGGCCAGGTGTCCACACACTCGGGGCAGCACTGACAAGCCAGCCCCCTGCCACCTTAGCCCCCTCCAGACTTTGGGCACCGATGAGCATGGGAGGGAAGCCAGATGGGGGATGCTAAGGGCAGCTCAGTGCAGGCCTGCAGCCACCCCTCAGCACAAACAGCCTGAGCGGTATAGACAGCATATTGATGCAAGGAGGCAGCATGTTGACACAAGGAGGCAGACAGGTTCCTGGGCAGAAAGGGACAGGTCCCTGGTGAAACTCTACCTTCTAGCCAAGGATGGCCTGAAGCCTGGGGGCCAGGCTGCCAGTTCTAAGTGGAGTCCACAGCCTGGAGTGAAAATTTATGATGCTTTTTCCAGGACCATGGATTAATCAGCATGCACCTCCTCCTTGTGAGCCCATAAAAACCCTGGACTCAGCCAGGCTTGGACAGACATAGGGACTACCAGCTACAAGAAGGAGCTACCCACTTCAGGTCTCCTCAACTCTTCAGGACAACCTGCCCATGGAAAGGAGCTACCCACCATGGGTCTCCTCTCTGCTGAGAACTGAACACTTGTCGGGACAACCTGTCTACAGAAAGAAGCTATTCACTTTGAGTCTCCTGAGAGCTGTTCTGTTGCTCAGTGAAGCTCCTCTCTCACCCTCCAGTTATCCACATATCTCATTCTTCCTGGACATGGGACATGAACTCGGGACCTGCCAAATGGCAGGACTGAAAGAGCTGTAACATGAACAGGGCTGAAACACACCCCCCGCTTGCCATGCTGCAGGCGACAAGAAGAGAAGAGCTGTGGCCCTTCTAGGAGCCCAGACCTTGGGGCTCCCAGACCGGGGCTGTGACATTCTGTAACACTCTCTTTGGAGCTCTGCAGTTCCTGGTGTCTCCAAGCTTTTGGATGCCACCATGGTCTCCTTGTCCAGAGGTTGATGCCTGCAGCAGAAGCTACTTGCAATACATCTGGTCCAACTGCAGCCTTGCACAGAGCCAGCATCTGTGCTGGTGCCTGGAGCTGCCATCCCAGATCTAGCTGGTGCACCTGGCTGTGTGCATTGGCTGGACCCCACACTCACTCAGTTACACATCCCCTGCTACTACATGCCTGGCTCACCCTTGGCAGGCATAGGATCTGGACCAGTAGTGCAAGCCAAGCGCAGCCTGTTGGGCCAAGTGGGTGGAATGAGCCCAGCAGGCCCAAGAAAACTCAGGCAAAGGCAGGCTGGGTGTGGTGGGTCATGCCTGTGATCCCAGCACTTTGGGAGACTGAAGCAGGTGGATCACTTGAGTTCAGGAGTTCAAGACCAGCCTGGCCAATATGGTGAATCCCCGTCTCTACTAAAAATACAAAAATTAGCCAGGCATGGTGGTGTGCACCTGTAATCCCAGTTACCTGGGAGGCTGAGGCGTGAGACTTGCTTGAACCTGGGAAGTAGAGGTCGCAGTGAGCTAAGATTGTGCCACTGCACTCCAGCCTGGGCAACAGATTGAAACCCTATCTCAAAAATAAATAAATAAATAAAAATAAAAATAAACTCAGGCAAAGGCAACACCAGCCACAGAGGTTTCCCGCTGGGAAAGTAAACACCCTAAGGATCCTGTGACATTCTCCCCTGGAAAGTCTCATTTGGCCACCTGAACTTAACCAATAGACTGTTACCTGCATTCAGTCTTAATGTCAACCAATCAGAAACTGTTACCTGCATTCAATCTTAATGTCAACCAATCAGAACTAAACAAGTTTGCATCCCTCATTTGCATAGCCAACTGGAGTAACAAACTGGGTGGCAACTTTTTCTATAAAGGACAACTCTTCTGTTTGTTCTCGCCTGTCTTTGTTTTGTAGCAAAGGCTGCCTCTCCCTGGTTTGTAAACTGCTTGCTGGAATAAAGACTCTTTAAAAAAAAAATCCTTTCAGTGGTTTCATTAACAGAAGGTGTTTGGAGGTGGTAATTTGGAAGGTAATTCGGTCATGAGGGTGAAGCACTCATGAATGGGATTAGGGGCCTTATAAGAAGAAGGGTAGCTAGTTTTCTCTCTGTGTATCATTTGAAGCTGCAGCCAGAAATCTGCAGTCTGCAACCAGGAAGTGGGCCCTCACCAGAATCTGACCATGCTGGCACCCTGATCCCAGATTTCCAGTCTCCACAACTGTGAGAAATAAATTTCTGTTGTTTATAAGCCTCCTAGTTTATGATACTTTGTTATAGCACCCCAAGCTAAGACTGTAACTTAATAGGAATTTGGCTTAAATCAGTACAAGCATTTGTCCAAGCTCAGCAAAAATACACTTAAGATTTGGGGATTTCACTGCATTACCACAAAAGAAAAAAATATAACAAATATTGCTGGACATGGTGGCTCACACCTGTAATCCCAGCACTTTGGAAGGTCAAAGTGGTCTGATAACCTGATGTCAGGAGTTCAAGACCAGCCTAACCAACATAGAAAAACTCCATCTCTACTAAAAATACAAAATTAGCTGGACATGGTGACACATACCTGTAATCCCAGCTACTTGGGAGGCTGAGGCAAGAGAATCGCTTGAACCCAGGAGGCAGAGGTTGTGGTGAGCCGAGATTGCACCATTGCACTCCAGCCTGGGCAACAAGAGCGAAACTCCATCTCAAAAAAAAAAAATATATAACAAATATTGAGCTCTAAAGATTTTCATGCTTAAATATTTAGGGGAAATGTACTCAGGTACTCGTGCCTGCAATTTACTTTGAAATGTATCAAAAAATACGATGGATTGGTGTGTGGACAGGGAGATGAGTAGATGAATAAGTACACAATAAAGCAAGTATAGTATAATGTTCATGACAGAATCTAGGACATGGATATGAGTGTTCACTATAAAATTCTTTAATTTTTCTGTATGTTTGAAAATTTTTATATTAAAATGTTAGAGATATGTGGATGCCTCCAAATATTGGAGTAAAAGAAAATTTATAGTTTATTTACTGAGTGCTTACCATGGTCAGGTACTATGCTAGATGTTTTATAAGCATTATCTAATTTACTCCTCACAGCCACTCTGTGACTTAGATGCTATTATCATTCCCACTTCATTAGTAATTAAACGAAGGCTTGGGGAAATAAAGTCACTTGCTCAAGGTCACACAGCAAGTAAATGAGGAATGACCTCAGCTCAGACTGTCTCAACTATACATTATATAAATTTTCTCTCTGTATGGAAAGAACAAAAGGAGAAAAACAGAATGAGAATGAAAAAGGAAAGCAATCTCAATTGGTAATCAACTAGAGATTGGAACATTTGGTCAGAGTCCTCACATTACCCATCTTTTAATTCTAAACAACAAGCGGCACTGTCTACATTTGTGGAGCTTAGTGCAAAATAAACATAGAGCATCCCTTGTTCAAAAATGATCAACTATTTTAAGAAGACAACAGCAGAGCATTAAACCAAGTGCAACCTTCTGAGAGCCAGCTCTGTGTGACCACACAGGTCATGAGCCCATGAAGCAGACCCTGAGTGCAAGAACATGAAGCGCTCCATGTGATTATGATTACTACAAATTTCTCAGAATATCAAACAACCCTTTCTGTGATAACATCTTTTTTCTTGTCTTCCTCTCCTGTACTTAGCATTTTTGTACCAAGAGACAAAAAGACAAGCTCGAACCTTGGTGGTCATGATGTCTGAATACTGAAGCTGTAGTAAGTCTCCATAAAAGACTTCGTTTTCTTCCCCCAAATCAAGACATATTAGTCATAAATGGTACTGATCTTCCTTTCAAATTGGTTGTCACAGACACAGCTGGGAAATGCTGATAGATCATCTGATGAGGGTAAACCGGTTTCAAAGAGGCGAGCTTTGTCATTAGTGGAACAAATCAGTTATCCATCATTCCCTTCTAACTCCAAAATTGACCAGGCAGTCATAGAATGTCTCCTGCATTTATGTAGCTGCCTTTTACCCTCAGGATTTCTAACCAAAGATCTTATTTATACTTTAGAAAATGGAGACCATGGCACCAATTGAAAGCGTTCTAAAAAAAAAATAAAGCTCCCATCTATTTTCAGGCCACAACAATTCAGCAGCAGCTTAGTTGCTTTCTGCCTGGGCTGTTGCTGTAATCAGTAATTCTCAGACAGACATAAAACACTGTAGTTTTGCTATGGATAATAGGCTGTTCATTCACTGAAAAGACTTCTATATTTTTTCATGTACTGTACAAAATGCTTCATTTCAACTAGAATCAAAATGACAAATCCTTTTACATCAGAGTTTTGCTGGCTGCCTCAGGAAGCTGAAAAATACTGTCACTAGAGAATAACTGGACGGATTTTAAGAAGCCCAGGATAGGGAAAAGGCACAGGAGACATGATTGCCCTCCCTTTTCATTCTGTACCAGACACTGCAAAGGTTATTCAAGTTAAAAAGATCAGTCTGTAAGCTTTGATAACTCCACATTCAAAAATGATGCCCCAAATTACTAGAATGTTAAATCCCTATGTAAGGAAGGCCACATGAAGATGCAGCATAAGAATGAGTCATCTTGAGGACTTCCAGGAAGTCCTTAATTTTAAACTGGAGAAGCCACTTGAACTGGGAATAGGGGAAAGACATTCAATATGCTGATTCTCTAGCAATTTCTGGGGCTGCTGCCTCATTAAAGGCTATAAAAGCCACTTTGCAAAAATGCAGAAAGCCAGCCTGCTTCCACGGTGACTGAGAGCCCCAGCTGCCTTCCTTTTGGAATGTGAAAAACAGTATGCATTTTGAAGTGAAAAGAGATTCTCCTCTCCTTTGCAGACTTTCAACATGCCTGGAAATATGTCAAGAAATTCTGCCTTATAGGGACGACTAGGCTATTTGAATCAAAATCTGTTTTGTCTTTGTAGGAAATGAGAACAAGGACAGGTAAAATCAGCGTGGATTTTTAATTTGAAGAATTCACCAGTATTAGGGCAACTGCATCCAGCAAAGGAAATCACTAGAATGAAGATTTAGGGTAGACTTCCTGCCGCCTGTGTTTATCGCACAGATCAACGCACACAAGCCATGGAGTATGATGCTGGGGAAGTAGCTGAAGCCATGTATATATTTATATCTCCAAGCAAAGCCAACCCCTCCTTCAAAGAAAGTGAACAAATGGGTAATTTATTAGACCTGGACATGTAACAGATAATGTATCTGAATACAGATATATCAATTTTTCACTACTCTTGTATTTTTCAGGCAGCCAATGATATGTTTGGAAACCACTAATCTTTTTTTTTTTTTCAATTTACTTCTATTACCATTGCCAACTAATCTGAGCTTGGAGAGAAAGAGAACAGCATTATTTTAACTAGGGTGGGGAAATGTTTATTTTAAAAATAAATATGTTGATCTGTTTCTGTTAAAATATTTCCTTGTTTTTCTTCAAAATGTTAAGTTGGGAAACAGATGAGCTTTGAGGTTAGGTAATCCTATATGGAATCCTGCCTCCATCGGGTTAATAGTTAACTCCAAACCTCGTTCTTTCCTCTTTTATAAAGCAGAGGAAATAATACTACCTAATTCATGTGTTGTGAAGATTAAATAAGATAATGTATGTAAGACACCCAGCACAGGCCTCACACATAAAAGGTGTTAAACACACTATGGTTCCTTCTCCCACTCCCCTCCCCTTCCCCTCATCAAGTCACTGGAATTACTATTTGGGGCGGCCTCCTCTTGCTTGCATGCTAATGATTGCCTGAAGGTGGTTTGAGAGCAATTTTAACAATCTCAAGTTATTCTACTTGTTAGTGTAGTTACAGTGAATAATAAATACAACTTGTTAATCATTCTGGACAGTTTCTGCATTGGAAAAATCACACTGGCAGCTTTGCATAACAAAAGGTTAAACTATAAGCCTCAAAGGAAATAAATAATGCTTGATAATTCAGATCAAAATTCAGTATTTTATACTTTTGCCTTTCAAATGAGTCCCATTGAAGTGCCTGCAATTGCCTTCTACCAACATTTAATTCATATTTCTCTCTAACAGGTAGTAGTAAAATTGCAAGATCTTCCCTCAAAAATAGTGAAACCTCCGGCCCTGGGACCAGACCACCTGGGTTGCAATCCCAGCTTCTTTACTTAAACTGTGTGAGCTTGACAAATGACTGATCCCTTTCAAGAGTTGGTTTCCATAACTTTTAAATGAGGATGACAATAGCATCACTTTCATCGTACCAAGTTATTGTTAGATAAATTTATAAGCACACAGAACAGTATCTGACACAAGAGTAAGGGCTTAAATAACTTTTTTTTCCAATCCAACTAACACATCGGTTGGGATTCTTTCTGGGAATGAGGGCATTGGATGACTCTCTTCAAATAGAATGTTATCACCATTTTCCTGAGAAGGTGAATTTCTCCATCTGTGGCTCTACAGGGTCCTGGAAAACTCTAGTTAGGAAATGGAGAGGGGAAAGTGGGACTGAAGATATCCACAGATCTGCTCCAGCTTGGGTCTGGAAGGCATACCCCACACATATATACACACACAAATACTTTAGACCACTGCCTCCTCATAGAGAAAAGGAATTTAAGGAGAGATTAAGTGACTAACTCAAAATCCATATTCGCTTTCAACTTGAAAAAAAAAAAAAAAGAGTATCAAGTATTTAAGTTAGCCCATTTACTAATGATGATTTCCAAAACAGGGTTAAATGAAAAAGAAGATATCCTCTGATTTCTAGGTCAAAGTCAGGTGATTTAGCACTGTCCTTCTCAAACTTTATGCATAGGAATCACCTGCGTTAAAGTACAATTTCAGATTAAGTAGATTGGGTGGGCCTTGATATCCTGCATTTCTAACAAGCTCCCAGGCAATGGCAATAAGATGGCTCCCATGGACCACACTTTGAAGAACAAGGATTCAGAGACCCACTCCAATACAGTCTGTTAGTGTGGACCAACACTTGCAAATTCCTCTTTCCTAAGAAAAATCAGCCCAATACCCAAAGAAAAATGGCCTGTGCAAACACTTGGCTAGAAGGATTACTTACTTTGGGCTTTTGATGGAGCTACTCCATGGAAAGTCGCTCATTTGGTGAAAATATGCTACTAACAGAGGTGAACTTGACCTTGACTTCATCAGCCATTTATCAGCATAGTTTTTTTGTTTTGTTTTGTTTTTTGAGATGGAGTCTCGCTCTGTCGTCCAGGCTGGAGTGCAATGGTGCAATCTCGGGTCACTGCAACCTCCATCTCCTGGGTTCAAGTGATTCTCCTGCCTCAGCCTCCCAAGTAGATGGGATTACAGGCATGCGCCCCCACGCTTGGCTAATTTTTGTATTTTTAGTAGAGACAGGGTTTCACCATGTTGGCCAGGCTGGTCTTGAACTCCTGATCTCAGGTGATCCACCCGCCTTGGCCTCCCAAAGTGCTGAGACTACAGGCATCAGCCACCACACCCAGCCATCATTGTTCATTTTTAAGACTATTGAGTGACTCCTTTGTGAGGAACACTGTTCTAGAACTAGGGAGAGAGCAATTATCACAACAAAGTTCTTGCTCTCATGGAGCTCATACTCCAGTGAGGGAGGCAATAAGCAAGTAACCAAGCAGGTAAACAGCATGCTGGGGGTGATAACTGCTACAGGGAAAAGTAATGCAGAATAAAAGAGATCAGTGTCAGACCTTGGGTTTGAGATAGGTGGAGTATTTAACAAAAGATGGTCAGAAAAGGCTTCAGTCATAAACTAAACTTTGAGCAGAAACTTTTAGGAAGTGAGGGACAGAGCCATGTGGACATGTAAAAGAGTTGCTCAGGCAAACAGCAAGTTCAAAAACTGAGACTGGAAACAAGAA
Organism: Homo sapiens; assembly: GCF_000001405.40. NCBI lineage: Eukaryota > Metazoa > Chordata > Mammalia > Primates > Hominidae > Homo > Homo sapiens. The sequence goes on from NC_000004.12 coordinate 81,878,514, forward strand.
AGCCAGGATGCCTGGAGTATTGTGACTAAGGGGCAGAGAAACAGGAGATGAGGGAACGTTCTGAAGCGTGCTGCAGTATTACTTGGAATTAAAAATCATGCCACAGTGAAAACAGGAACAAATCAAAACTATAATAATCTTTCTAACTTAAGATGAAAATGAACACTTGACATGGGAACACTTATCAGCGGGCTTTAGTTAGAAGTTAATGGTGGACCACCTTCTCTACTAGAAAAACAGGTAAATCAGTGTCCTTATGATAAGGCATTATAAGAGGAAAAGTAATAAAGTCCTTAACATGAGAATGATAATTCCAAACAGTTATATCATTACTGAGTTGCTTTGGAGTATGGGAAAGTAAATGCTTTTGCCATTTGGTCAATGGGGTATCACAAATTAGTTTTTCTATCAAAATTACCTTTCCTAACGGATGCACCTGAATAAATGCATACCCATCCAAATGTGCACCTGGAGGATTTTGAACAGAATGCTGCCAAGCCAGGACTTCTGCTATCAGTTCCAATAAATGCAGATGCATCCCTGAGTGAACATCCAGATATTCATATTGCTTACATCACACATTCATTGTTCCTGGAATCCATGTTCTCCCAGAAGACTCAAATGAGCACCAATGCAAGTACATCACAAATCACAAATGTATGACAAGCCTGCATGCGATGCTTTTGCGCTGTGTTACACTCTCTAAGGAATATCCTACACCAGCAGGAGGGAGTTAGGGGTAGTCAAGGAGAAGGGAAGGAGCCTGGAGGCACTGGCCCGGCAGGAGCAGAACAACTGGCCATGGTTATAGTCAAGCTGTGTAACACCTCAATCATATGGGACCTGAACGTGATTTCAGGAATAATCCCACTACTGGTCAGGCATTCTCCATGGCCTGCTCTGCTCCTCAGCATAACACGCTTTGTAAACAAACAAACAAACAAACATACTTTATATGATTTCCCATTACAATTAAAGTAAAACCCAGTCATTTTCATGGGCTACAAAGCCTACAAATCCTACTTAACTTATAGCCACACTGGCCTTCAGGGTCTTCCAGAAAACACCACGAATATCCTTTCTCAGGGCCCTTGTAGGATCTGTTCCCACAGCCAGGAAAGCATCCAAAAACATCCACATGCCTCATCCCCTTACTTCATTCAGGTCTCTGCTCAAATGTTGCCTTACTTTCCTAGCCCACCTAAGGCAGAACCCATGTGACTCCATCACCTTACCCTGCATCATGGTTCTTCATGGCAATGTCACTGCCACTGCCTGACATGACACTCCAATATGCTCATTCAGTGCCTGTCTTCCCACTAGGATATGGCTGGATCTTGTTCTCTTTTATTCACTATGGCACCCTTCAGATCTAGAAACATCAGGCACACATGAGGTACTCAACAAGTATCTGCTGAACAAATGAATGCATAGATGCATTTAATTTTTTAATGTAAATTAGAGGAGCTATATTGGCTTTCTTTGAATATTTTACCAGAAGAGTGGCTATAGGTTTATGCTTATTTTGTAGGCATGCACTTCATTACTAAAAGATACATTTTTCAAGCCAAAAGAATGAGAAAAAAGATGATACAGATATTAGTGCATCAAACAACGCACTGGAGAAAAGAGAAGGAAATAGAGCAGAACCAGGTCGCCCAAGAACATGGCGAAGATAGAGAAGCCTAAATGATGGAATAAATAAGCAATTTGGAGGATCACAGGAGGGACCAAATAAATGCCCTGATTACAAAATTTCTTTTCCAAGTTGGTGCTCAGTGAATGCTGAATAAAAAGGATAATGGTAATGTAGTATAGGTTATACTTGGTGAATCCTCAAACTCTGCATAGCTCAGACCATGAATTGAAAAAAAAAGTTTTTTTCACAAGGAAGATTACCTTACAAATACAGTTTTAATAACCAATAGTTGGATATTCTTAACATCATGATTTTTCAGAGGACCCTGTATTCCAGTTATAGGTGACAATTTTTATTTATTCAATCATAAGCCATAACTTGGGTCATAAACTTCAATGCCCATAGGAGTCAGGTAGGCAATGTAAATGAGGGAAACGAGCAGCACACAGGCTGGGGCCACCTGGAGGTGGAGTGCCATGTCCCTTCCAATGGGATCAGGGCTACTCAGCTCCAGCCAGATGAGCACCCGGGTTGCTGGGAAACCTGGGCTTTCTGGTAAGATCTCTCAATTTTTATTGTTGGCAACTAAATTCAAGCATCATATAGAAATCATGTAGAAATCATATAGAAATCATGCAAACAAAATAAATCATGCAAACAAAACACATTTAGAGCCACCATCAGTCTTCAAATTTGTAATTTCTGATAAACTACTCAAATATAAAATCCAACTGGAAGGACAGAAGCAATATGTCTACTTTCTAATTATCTGACCAAATTCTAGAAAAAATATTTGCTGTCTACACCAATCCAGGTCTTTGTTAGCTTTAAATGAGGGAAACTAAGGAAAATCTGAAATATTCGAGGCAAAAGATAGCCACTAAGGGCTTTGTAAATGAAACATTAATAATGAAATGACTTCAATTTTATCCATAGACTATTAAGGCTATATGACTTAATAATTTAGTTGTCAGGTATTTGTTAAATAACAAGCTTCCAACCAACACACAAAGTACTTAAAAAGAAAAGTATTTGTCTGGCAGATTTACTTTCAAATCTATTAGTCTAACTAAAAAACAAGCCTACAACTAACATACAAAAACACAGACAGTTAGTATTTATGAATTTAACATTTGTGGTTTCAAATGCAAGTGAACCTTAAAGGGCCATGTCTTGCAAAGATCAGTCAGCTTGTTGAGGATGGACTTGGTGAGTGAATCTAGCAACTGCCTAGCACACTAGCAAACTAGCATCTCTCTGCAGCTTTGTTTTTTTTCTATTTCTCATCACATACACAAAACAATTTTTACTAAATATCTGAAAGAGGGGCCAGGCATTGTGGTTCCTGCCTGTAATCCTAGCTCTTCGGACTGGGAGGCCAAGGCAGGTGGATCACTTGAGCTCAGGAGTTGAAGAGCAGCCTGGGCAACTTGGCAAAACCCTGTCTCTACAAAAAAATACAAAAAAAATTATCCGGGAGTGGGGACATGCAACTGTACTCCCAACTACTCAGGAGGCTAAGGTGGGAGGATCACCTGAGTCTGGAGAAGTCAAGGCTGCAGTGAGCCATGATTGTGCCACTGCACTCCAGCCTGGGTAACATAGTAAGACCCTGTCTCAAAATAAAATAAAGTAAAATAGGTTCATTTAATTTTTTAATCATGCTTTACCGCCCTCTGTGATCAGATTTAAATGTTACCACAGTGATAGCATATTGGGAGGTTCACAAAATTATTGGCATGTTTTCCTTATTAATGCCAAGGTATGCCTCACCTATTGACATCCAGTGAAAGCAACCCTTAACTTCACAAAGACGCCCAGTGCCAGGAGGCATTCCCACCCTCCCCAGCTCTGTCTCCACCTAGTTTCACTTGTCTTCGTCCCTGGCTATGAGCCATCTCCACTTGCATATGTGCCCTGGTTCCTACTCCCCACTCATCAAGTCTGACAAAACTCAGCTGTCTCTTTCTTGGCTTCCTAGCTCAGCCTGCAGGCCTGGTGGGATGCTGTATCATTTTGAGTCCAGTTGTAGATGACAGATACTATGATAGCTAGTTTAAGCAAAACAATATTTTATTGTCAGGTATTAAATGCTTAACACAATCACTAAAGAAAAAGGCATAAACTAAGCTAAGCTTCCAGGAACAGCTTCCATCATCATACATTCTTTCCTGTGATCTAAAAAGCTCCTCTGTCCAATGCTGAAAGTAGAACCATACCTCCTGCACCAGGACAGGAAGAACCCTGGAGCATGCAGGAAGCCAGTGAATCAGGAAGTTAGGACCTCACACCTCCCTTCTTGCTCCTCACTGGTGGTTCAAGTCCCTCACTGGTGGTTCTTAAAGGTGCAGTCACCTTACTCTATGTAGTATTTGACTCATTCTCCTGCCTAAAAGCCTCCCATGGCCCCACGTGTCTGTTGTAAATCCCTCAGGCAATCATATACAGCTTCTTTACAATCTCTATGTACCCTCTTGGCCACAGAACACTTTTCAGATCCACAAGCACCCTCCCCCTGTGTTGTATCTCCTGCCTTTTCATACTCTGTCCCTTGTCTGGAGTGGTCTCTGCTATCTTTCTTCATCCTCCAAACTCCTACTTATTCCTTCAAAAACGACTTTAAATGCCACTCCCACTGTGAAAGTACCTCAAGCTGACATGGTCAATGCTCCCCTTCACTTTCTTGCCTGCTCTTAGAACACTTAATCCATAGCGTTATACTGGGAATTCCAGACTCCAAGTATTTTCTTACACGTATGACTCCTTTATTTTACTGTGAATGGGAATCATGACTTTTAAAAGCATACCTTTTTAAATCCTAACTCTTTGGACTAACTCCACATAAAGCTATACTAAATAAATGATCAGTGTAGCAGCCAGGTTTGTGGCATTTCCAACCAGGAAAAAAAAAATCCAAATTCCTAAATAAATCAAGACAAGCTATTTCTCAGGCACACATTTTTAAAATTCAGTAAACTTTCAGAATATGCAAATGACAATAAAGCTTCACTTCAGCACATTAGAGTGACAGTTACAAGAAAATGACATAAAACTGCTCCCTGAGGAACCATCTCAAGATAGCATTAGATACTCAGGGTTGTCACTATGAAGGGTACCATCTAAGTCATATTTTTTCAGCTTTAATAACAAAGATGGGACAGTTACCAGTATTTTTCATTATCGTCTTTGCCTTCAGAACTTTATTTGGCCTGGCCCTGAAAGCAGTAAAGAATTTGTTTTGAATGTTAAGCACATGACAGCAGAGGGCTACTGGGTTTTAAGCAGATATGTACGAGGATATGGATTTGTAGTCCATGGGGCCCCACCTTCCCCAGGATATCAATGGAGCTGCTCCATCCCTGAATTTTCCTTTGTGAGCAATAGCCCTATCCCAGGTCCTCAACACAGGATGAGCTGCTTGCTCAAGATCCATTCAGTCTCAGAGTCTGTCTCCGATGCTGGGGCCCATCAGAGCTTTTAGAGTCCATGAGAACCCTGAGGCAGGTGGGAGAAGTCAGGGCACTTCCACACAATTAATATTGTTGGAGTTTCCCCAGGCATATAGTATTGTAGGGAAGTGAGACAGTCATGTTACTCTGCATACTTATAGGAACAACTCTGGGTCAAATTAAGGTCCAAGCAAAGTCCATTGCCAGTTCTGCAGGGCAGAAAATCATTCGTCATCGCCAGTAAAAAATTTTCCACTTTCTGGCTTCTGCATGTATTCAGCTAGTCAAGTGTCAGCACAGAGCCCCGAAGTCACATGCTTTGCGGCTTACATTGTGACAACTGCATTTCTAAGCCTATGGTTGCAGGCAAGACAACATTTGTAATTGTCTTGTTGGTTCAGGGTAAAACAAATACACATTTAGATCACAACAGATAAATGCTTCCTCTGAATTAATCACACAAGGGAGGGCAGAAAACACACATCTATCAGGGAAATTGAATCTCATAGTGGCAAACCCACAAAGAAAACAGAATTTCTTGAAATAGAAGGAAATCGTAGAATATTAACGGTATCCTTCAAGTGGGAGCCCTTATTAGGAAACAAGTCCATAAATGGCAGCAAATAGATAAAGCTAACTGAGAATGCCTGAAGGTTAATGGTTTTAAGCAGACATGTATGAGGATGTGGATTTGTAGTCCATGGGGCCCCACCTTCCCCAGTCTCAGAGTTGTGTTTCCAGCAAATCCCTCTCACCCCAGCTAGTAAGACCATACTGATTACAGGGCCAGTATAATGTATTTTAAAATTTAACTTTTGCAGGCCCACTGTATGCTTGGTATGGAAGACCATGAAACCCACTTCCATATCCTACTAGCAGGAGAGAGAAGCGTAAGGCCTCTTGGTGGAAGCTCCTCACTATAGAAACCATAAGTACAATTTTTCCCTTTTCTTCTAACAAATACATTTTCTTCTGCACATACAGTGTTGCTCTGTTCACAGCAGAGCTGGTTAAGTTCGACTATGGTGCAGAGCAGGGAGAGGATGGAGAAAACAGATTTTGTAACAAAGCAGGCTGTATACAGAATTACTACCTAAACCCAGTACTAGCCCTTATAGTGGAAGGTGAGCAGAATTATTAAATTATTAAAATTATTAAATTATTACATAATCTCAATGTTAGCTGAGCAAGCACACCAAGGGAATCCAGAAGAAGGTACAAAGAGTCCTTTACTTCAAGTTGGAGTCGTTTGTCTAACTATTCTGAGTAATTTTCCTGGAGGTTAACAGGAAGGGGTCTTTCAATTTAGATGCCTTCAGGAATGACTGCATATGATGGTCTACAAGGAAAAATCCCCTCTCCTTTGGGTTCTCACCCCTTTCTTTTACTTTCCTTACTTTCCCTTCTCTTCCTTTCCCTTCTCTATTCTCATAGGTCCAGTTCTCCAGGAAACAGACTGTAAGATGGAGATCTGCATTCAGAAACTTTGTAGAGAAGTGCTTAAAGAACCACAGCTGTGAAGGATAAGAGAAACAGGCCTGAGCAGAAGGAGAAGTTGCACTTGATTGCAACAGAAGCTTCAGCCAACTCCACAAGGAACTACCAAGCCGGGATGACCCTTCAGTAATGCCTACGATGAGTCCTGGCAGTGCCAACTTGATTAGAGAAGGGTTGTAACCTTGGGCTAAGCAGCTGCCTTCAAGCAAGGGCAACTTCTGACAGAGGACTCAGCTGTTCGCCTTCAGCAGCCAGCGCACTGTTAGCATCTGGAGACTGAGTAATTCAGTTCTGAGAGGAAAATCTCGGTGACCCATCACAGCTCCATTTGCTTTCCTCACTTCTCCCTTCCCTTTCCTTCCCTTCTCTTCTTTTCCCATGACCCAGAGCCCTTACATTCCTTTGATCTCCTTTCCCCAGTGTCCTGGTTCTTATTCCCTTTGGTTTATGAGACAAGTTTGTAAAAACTCCATCCCATCTAGCTCCACTAGGATGGGGTAAGCCTACAAGACAATCAACCTTTCACAGTGATAATATGTAATTTCTCTTAGCAGATCTGCAGTAAATATTCAAAAGAAAATTATTCTTTTTACAAGACTGTTCACTCTCACAACTCCTATTCGACATAATATTAGAAGTCCTAGCCAGAGCAATCAGGCAAGAGAAGGAAATAAAGGGCATCCAAATATGAAAAGGAAGTCAAACTATCTCTCTTCACTGACAGTATGACTCTATACTTAAAAAACTCTAACAACTCTGCCAAAAAGCTCCTTGAACTGATAACTGACTTCTGTAAAATTTCACGTTACAAAAACAATGTACAAAAATCAGCAGCATTTCTATACACCAATAATGTTGAAGCTGAGAGCCAAATCAAGAATGTAATTCCATTTACAATAGCCACACACAGAAAAAATAAATTATCTAAGAATACATCTAACCAAGGAAGTGAAAGACCTCTATAAAAACTACAAATCACTGCTGAAAGAAATCACAGATAACATAATAGAAAACCATTCTATGCTCATGGACTAGAAGAATCAATATCATTAAAATGTCCCTGCTGCCCAAAGCAATCTACAGATTCAATGCTATTGTTACCAAATGACCAATGTCATTTTTTAAAGAATTAGAAAAAACTATTCTAAAATTCATATGGAACAAAAAAGAATAGCCAAAGATATTCTAAGCAAAAAGAACAAAGCTGGAGGAATCACATTATCTGACTTCAAACTACACTATAAGGCTACAATAACCAAAACAGCATGGTACTGGTACAAAAACAGACACATAGACCAATGGAATAGAATACAGAACCCAGAATTAAAGCTGCATACCTACACCCATCTGATCTTCAACAACATCAACAAAAATAAGCAATGGAGAAAGAACTTCCTATTCCATAAATGGTGCTGGGATAGCTGGCTAGCCATATGCAGAAGAATGAAACTGGACCCCTACATTTTACAGTAAACAAAAATTAGCTCAAGATGAATTGAAGATTTAAATGTAAAATCTCAAACTGTAAGAATCCTACAAAAAAACATAGGAAATGCCATTCCGGACATTGGCCTTGGGAAATAACTTATGACTAAGTCCTCAAAAGCAATTGCAACAAACAAAAACAAACAAGTAGTAGGTACCTAATTAAACTAAAGAGCTTCTGCACAGAAAAAAAGAAAATACCAACAGTATAAACAGAAAACCTACAGAATGGGAGAAAATAGTAGCAAACTATGTATCTGACAAAGATCTAATATCCAGAACCTGTAAGGAACTTAAACAATTCAGCAAGCAAAAAACAACCCCATTAAAAAGCGAACACAAGACAGGAACAAACATATCTCAATAGAAGACATGCAAGCAGCCAACAATCATATGACAAAATGGTCCACATCACTAATCATCAAAGAAATATAAAGCAAAAACGCAATGAGATACCATCTCACACCAGTCAGAATTGCAATTATTAAAAAGTCAAAAAATGAGATGCTGGTGAGGCTTCAGAAGAAAGGGAATGCTTACACACTACTGGTGAGAATGTAAATTAGTTTATCCACTGTGGAAAGAAGTATGGAGATTTTTCAAAGAACTTAAAACAGAACTACCATTTGGCCCAGCAATCCCATTACTGGGTATATATCCAAAAGAAATTAATCATTCTACCTAGAAAACAAATGCTCTTGTATGTTCATCACAGCACTATTCACAATGGCAAAAATATGGAATCAACCTAGGTGCCCATCAATGGTAAATTGGATAAAGAAAATGTGGTACATATACACCATGGGATACTATATAGCCGTAAAAGAGAATGAAATCATGTTCTTTACAGCAACTTGGATGCAGCTGGAGGCCATTATCCTAAGCAAATTAATGCAGCAACAGAAAACCAAATACTGCATGTTGTCACTTATAAGTGGGAGCTAAACACTAGGTACTCATTGGCATAAAGATGGGAACATTAGACACTGGGGACTACTACCGAGGGGAGAGAGGGGAAGGAGGTGGAAGGGCTGAAAAACTATCCATTGAGTACTAAGCTCACTACCTGGCTAAGGTGACAATTTGTACCCCAAACCTCAATGCCATCCAATATACCCATGTAACTAACCTGCACATGTACCTCCTGAAACTAAAATAAAATTTTTAATTTATTTAAAATTTTTGTTTAATGAAAGTTGTGATTTTTGTCTAAAGTCCACACTACCAAATGGGTATCATACCTTACCTTACCCTTAGTATGTGCCATGGCCCCAGTAGGAGCATTAATCTAAAAGTTTCCACTACTTCTGCCTTAAGACAAGAAACTATATGTTCTCTTTGGATTGCCGTAACTTTGCATGTGCCATGATCATGGTTAAAGAAAAATAAATGTTAACACATTAAAGTGTCTTAAGTATCTTAACCGAATCAAAATATGAAAAGTAACAATATTATAACAGGTCTTATATATAAAGCATATGCTAAGCTCTACTGCTGCATACTTCAAATACACCGTTATCATCTAATATTTACAACATCCTTACAGGATTATATTATCCCCATTTATAAGTAAGAAAACAAGAAACTTAGAGAAGCTATGAACTTGCCTGAGATCACACAGGTAGGAAGTGCTAAAGTTGGATGTGGAAGAAATGATTAGCTGTCACTAGAATCCATATATCTCATCCATATGTTGAGTGGTCTCTTTGAGGAAACTGTCCAGTCAAGGACATATGTTCCTGTCCTCTTCATCCCTAGGTAGGTCATGTGGCTACTTCCAGTTACATGAATGTGAACATAAGTGATATATGTCACTTGGACATTCTTCATGTTCCCTTCTCTGCCTGCCAACCATATGCAGTGGTCTCAAGACCTAGGGGAAGGCACAGCCACGAGACAGGAGCCCAGATCCATGAATCACCAAGTAGAGGACAGTCACCATCAACCATGAACACTACATTAGACTATTTATATGTGATAACTATACTTTTGTTGTGCAAAGTCACTTTAATTTAGGGGCTTACTTGTTGTAGCACTAGCACCACCCTAATTAGTACAGGATGAAGCCTAGACTTCCATTTATATAGTCATTTATTCATTCAACTAAACATGACTTGAGTAACCTCTACCAATTAGGTATATACTCAACATCGGGGATGTAAAGATGCACATAACATAGTCGCTTTCTTCTAGAAGTTCACGGCATAGCAAAGAAAAGAGATTATTCACAACACTATGGAAACACTGAATGGGAATCACAGGTTCTGACGGTCTAATTTCTCCCCTGTGTAGATATTCATAGGCTGACATTCATGTGATAATCTTATTTGTACTTATTTTTCTCAATTTATTGCATTAATACAAATTCTTCTCATGTGGATTTTCTGACAGAGAGACCTGTTTAAGAAAAAAGAAAAATCCCTGAAATCAATTCTGGAGAGGTGTTGGTCAAAATGGAAAGTCAGACAATGTATTCAGTAATTACTAGTAACTGTCCTAAAAATAATATTTTGAGGGTTGGTTACTTTCATCCTCTGCCTTCAAAAACTGGTTGGTAAAATAAATAGATTAAAAATACATTAAGTATAGGTGCAAGAAAAAGTGGCATTTTTTTCTTTCTTAATCTCACTTTAAATTATACCTTCATGTCAAAGGGAAAAGCCAAAAAGAACAAAAGAGATAAAAGAAATGTATATATACACATACACGCATTCCTCACTCCCTCCACCATTTCACCACTACCCCAATCTCTGAAGCTAGCCCAGAATACTCCCTTTTCCTGTTCTAATTGTTTCCACCGGTAGAAAAAACTTTTTTCATCCTCCTATGTCTCATCCATCTTTCCATCTCTAGCCATCTGTCCACAACCACTTGCATACCACCCTGCTTGTGCTCCAATTATTCCAGCCTATGCTATCCTCCCTTTTTCTTTTCTTCTTTTTTTTTGGCAATCCTACATTTACCACATAGCTGTGATTAAGAACTTCATTGTTCTCTAAGCAATTTTTTTTAAGTTTACGTCTTCCAATGTGACTGCAGACTCCTCAAAGACAGAAAACGTGACCTGACTTTTTTTCTCCATGTGCCTAGAAATGTACTGAGCACATATATAACCAAAAAAGAAATGCCCAATGAGCAACCAACTGCTTAACTGACCCTTCCTGGGTGATCTCATGGGGCCATGGGACAAAGAAGTGTTTTAATAACATGCTGTCTTTAGCAAACTTTCAGCAAAAGGAAACATGACATGGGATGAAGAAAAGAGCACCATGCTGGGCAAGGACTTCATGACTAAAACACCAAAAGCAATGGCAACAAAAGCCAAAATTGACAAATGGGATCTAATTAAACTCAAGAGCTTCTGCACAGCAAAAGAAACTACCATCAGAGTGAACAGGCAACCTACAGAATGGGAGAAAAATTTTACAATCTACCCATCTGACAAAAGGCTAATATCCAGAATCTACAAAGAACTTAAACAAATTTACAAGAAAAAAATCAAACAACTCCATCAAAAAGTGGGCAAAGGATATGAACAGACACTTCTCAAAAGAAGACACTTATGCAGCCAACAAACACATGAAAAAATACTCATAACCACTGGTCATCAGAGAAATGCAAAACCACAGTGAGATACCATCTCACACCAGTTAGAATGGTGATCATTAAAGTCAGGAAACAACAGGTGCTGGAGAGGATGTGGAGAAACAGGAACACTTTTACACTGTTGGTGGGACTGTAAACTAGTTCAACCATTGTGGAAGTCAGTGTGGCGATTCCTCAAGGATCTAGAACTAGAAATACCGTTTGACCCAGCCATCCCATTACTAGGTATATACCCAAAGGATTATAAATCATGCTGCTATAAAGACACATGCACACATATGTTTATTGCGGCACTATTCACAATAGCAAAGACTTGGAACCAACCCAAATGTCCATCAATGATAGACTGGATTAAGAAAATATGGCACATATACATCATGGAATACTATGCAGCCATAAAAAATGGTGAGTTCATGTCCTTCGTAGTGACATGGATGAAGCTGGAAACCATCATTCTGAGCAAACTATCACAAGGACAGAAAACCAAACACCACATGTTCTCACTCACAGGTGGGAATTGAACAATGAGAACACCTGGACACAGGGTGGGGAACATCACACACCAGGGCCTGTCGTGGGGTCGAGGGAGTGGGGAGGGATAGCATTAGGAGAAATACCTAATGTAAGTGACAAGTTAATGGGTGCAGCACACCAACATGGCACATGTATACATATGTAACAAACCTGCATGTTGTGCACATGTACCTTAGAACTTAAAGTATAATAAATAAATAAATAAGAAAGAGCACCATGCTGAATAAGAGCAAGGCAATCTTACTTCTGCTTCCATTTCAACACCTGTGTGGCCTTGGGTATAGTACTTACATAAACATCTCTGAGCCTTAGTTTCTTAATCTTTAAAAAGGGAATAATAATACCTTCCTCTTAGAATCAAAACCAGTTTAGCAGAGGAAAGCCCTTCAAAAATACTGTTTTGTTTAAGGGACTTCCTTCTGTATTGAATTAGTGAGTAACAGAATCCAGTCATTCTTGTCCAAAGTAATTCTAATAAGCATCCTAGTAATGACCAAAGAGGGATTACCTCTCAGAACAAAACAGCACTCCCTTCTAAATCCGTGCTTCTCCCAAAAGCAATTGACTAAATAAATGAAACATGTGACGCATTTAACTTTGGGCCCTTTGCTTTTGCAACCTGATTCTGCAAACTGCTGAAAAGGCACTTCTCTAACGGAACCAGGAGGGCAATGGTGGATTGTCTGGTCACAAGCCCAAGCTATGAACAACATAGAGAAGTGTCTCCTGCCATCGCATTGCTCATTAATTGTCCCATATAAGGCGAGTCACGGTGAAGAGTGAGCTCTTCCAAGATGCAGCAGGGAGGCTACAGAGGCAGGGGGAGCCCAGCAGCAGGGGTCTCCTGCTGCTCTGTCAACAAGCTCCAGGCCTCACTGGGGGCCCCAGGCTCCCTCAGAGAGCTTTATTCTTCTGCAGCTGTGACTCCCCTCCTCTCATTAATGCATGTCCTGGGGTCTTCTCTTCAGAAGCTGAGGCAGCATTCTTCAAGACAGTTCTCCTAATTGATGGAGGAGCACTGGGAGGTGCACGTTCAGGCAGAAGCAAATGTTGACACAGTGCCTTTTCTCACCCCTCTTCTCAGAAATACACACAAGACCCCTGGGGCACAGTTTCCTTGGATGTACATTAATACTGGCTGCCTCCCTTTTTTCTATTCACTATCTCCATGGTCTCTTCATTCACCACAGAGTGGGTTAGTAGCAGAGGCTCCAGGGTAAGCCTGCCCAGAACTGAACCCTGGTCCTGTGTAAATTTGGGCAAGTTACTTCATTTTCTGTCTCCTAACCTGTAAAATCAAAGTAACGGCATCTTCCTTACAGGGTTATTATGATAATTAAATAACATAATGTATGTAAGGCACTTCCAAGCACAGACCTTGCCATGTAAAATAAGTACTCAGTATCATCAACTATCCTCTTTGACCATCTATAATCTGGTTCCTGTTTGTATCAATCCCATAAACCTCTCTCTCTCAGGAAATACTTCAGTATCCTCTTCCCATCATAATCCTGCCATTTGACTCTTCTCCTATTCCCTCTGTTGCTTTTAACCATGATGTGTCAGTTTACATGACACCAGAATATCGAGCACTCTTTCCACAGGTCAAGATTGTACTTGGGACTTTTGTGCAAAAATTCAGAGTACTACAGATCACTTGGAAAATTCACTACAACCTTCCATCGTATTCTAACCTTGATGCGATCTGAAAGTATAAATTCGTATGAAAATAAGGGAAGAAATCCCCAGTCTATCAATGATGGGGGAAAATATGCTGCAATGTCATTTTCAGCCATAATCAACCACTTCCATTGTTTCCCACCTGCCCTCACAAATTTAAGGAAAAGGCATATTTTCATCAGATTTGTATATCAGCTTTCAGCAGATACAAAATTTAAGAGGAAAAAAATGTCTTTCTACACAGCAATTTACTTAGCCATCACCAATTATTGCCCATCATAATTAAAATGATGATTACCAGATTTTCAGTTTCAAGACAGTATATATTTCCAGCATCTCTCATTTCATTTCATTTCAAGACAGAGTCTTGCTCTGTTGCCCAGGTTGGAGTGTAGTGGCATGATCATGGCTCTCCATAGCCTCGATCTTCTAGGCGCAAGCGATCTTCCCACCTCAGCCTCCTGAGTAACTGGGACGACAGGTGCACACCATCACACCCAGCTAATTTTAAATTTTTTGTGGAGACAGGATCTCTCTATGGTTCCCAAGTTGGCCTCAAACTTCTGGGCTCCAGCAATCCTCCTGCCTGGGTTCCCCAAAGTGCTGGGACTTCAGGTATGAGCCACTGCACCCAGCCCAACCTCTCTCATCTTAAACATCACCCAAACACTTAAGGAAAAAAGAATCAGAAATAGAAAGTCAACCTTCATCCGTTTTGGAGACAGTTTTAACTGTGAACTAAATCATAAGATGGCAGAAAGCAATAGAGAAGTAGATGGGTCACCAGAGAGAAGCCGGGACACAGCTAAGTGCTTCCAAAGGGAGGCACTGATGAGAAGTGAATTGGAAATGCTCACAGAATCCAGACAGGCTAGGAGCACAAGTGCCTCTGAAGGTGGGAAGAGGCTGGGTCTGGCTACTGCTTCCTTAGCCCAGCTGGAGGAGGTAAGGATCCAGACTCAGAGACAAGAGGTAGAAGGTCAAGTGGAGGTTAGACATACGAGAGAAAACAGGGAGATGAAATGAAAGTCGCAGACTGCACAGAATGAACCCCCAGATGATTGGAGGAAACTTCTCTAGCAAAACTAAACCACCTTCAGCCAAAATACTACAGATTCTGACATTTGAAGGTCCCTGCTGAAAAAGCCATGTCATCCTAATGGCCCTGCGGTGAAGCCCGCAAGTTGAAAAGTCCAATGAATAAACACAAAACTTCCCCTCAGCTTTCCAAAGATTTTCTCTTGAATATGAATAGACAGCCAAGGATTCCAGGCATGTGGGGAAAGTCTGCAATATTAAAGTGAAACAAGCAAATCAATAATTGAGAAAATAAAAGAAACTCACAAGAAACAGATACAATGCAGGAAGAAAAGAAAACTTCAAAGACACTCTAATCAGAAGTCTCAGGAGTTCTGACACTTTTCTCCCCAACAGGCCTAGGGATAGACACACTCTTGGCACCTGTCCCCTCCTGCATGGAGGAGGTATTAGCACGTCTACTGGAAAAGGAAAAAAGTAGGAAGTTTAAAAGTAATTTTTTTAAAACTCACATCCATGAAATTAAAACATGATGCTATAAAAAAATTTTTAGTGAAGTTATTTTAGATACAGACTTTAAAATAGCACTAAAATTTAAAAATAAGAAACAGTAAAAAGGCAATAAGATTAGGTCAAGGAATTCACCAGAAAGTAGAACAAAATGACAAAGAGATAGAAAATAGCGCAGAAAACTTAGGAAAGTTAGAGATTCAATCCAACCAATAGGAGTTCCAGAAAGAGAGAACAGAGAAATCATCGATGGAGAAATTCTGAAATAAACAAACCAAGGAAATTTACAGAACTGAAAGACATGAATTTCTGGCTTAAAAGATACAGCAAATGAATGAAATGTAACCCATACTGAGGATAGCATTGTGAAATTCAAGATTATCAGAGATAAAGGGATCTTAAAGGTTTCCAGCAAGGAAAAACAGGTCACAGGCAAAGGATCTGGAATAAGAAAAACAACCATCTTCTTGAAAGCAACATTACAAGCTAGAAGTCAGTGTAGACATATCTTCAAAATTCTGAGAGAAAATTATTTGCAACCAAGGATTCTCAATTTAGCCAAACTATTAATCAGGTATAAAGGTAGAATAAATATTCTTTTTCAAACATTGAAGTCTCAGAACACTTACCTCCCATGACTTCTCAGGAAGCTACAGGAGGATGAATACATAAACTGAAAAAAAAAAAAAAAAAAAAAAAAAAATGGCATGACATCCCAGACACAAGAAAGAGAAGCAAAGTGAATTAGGCAAAGTCCAGTTCTGTAACAGGCCCCAGGAGAACCCAATCTAGGGTGAAAGAGAATAGCTGAAGGATATGGATGTCTCAAAAAAAATGGATATGATAGATTATTTGACAGATTTGATTATGAGAAAAATTTTAAGACATTTGACAAAGCTGTTGTGGGGTATGGGAAGAGTTGGGCCAGAAATCTGAAGGCAGTGAAGCAGATTTTAAAAATGAACAAGGCAGTTGTTAAATCCAGGAAAACAGAAGGTTATAAAATAAAGCTATGTAATCATAGCCTACTATTTGGCTCAGCAATAAATAACATTTACCTAGTAAAAACAAAAAAAAAAACACCCATGAATATGGATGTAACCAAATATTATAAAATAACTATATTTAAAGGATATAGGAGGTGAGGGGATAGGGTATGAAACTAAAGGAAGTCATAGAACAAGAAAAGGGCTGTAAGCAGTTCACTACTGTTGGAGAATGGCCTTGAGTTGGGGCAGGGGAGAAGGTGACTGCTCTTTTTGTATATATGTCTTTTAGTACTTTTTGACTTTTATAACCATGTGCATGCCTCTGTGTGATAAAATTGTAAGTTAAAAAAGAGATAAAATTACAATACAGTTAACCTTGTACCATTTCTTTTCCGCTACTTAAATATGTCTAAACTGCACTGGAGAAATTTTTTAAAACCCTCTCCATTGGAACTAAGCTACGGATTTGTATTAAGCTTATTTCATTTAAAAGATTTCATTATAAATTATTAATTCCTCCCCCTCACCTACCCTTTCACTTACAAATTACCAAAATGCAAAGCTCTTTGCAGCCATCTTTCTTTTTTATGTCATTATTATTCACTCATGACTCTAGGTGTTTAGAAGTGACTCCGAATACAGAATATCTTTAAGACAGAGGATCACAGAAAACACATATGAGATCTCCTTCCTCTTATTCCATTCCCCATTGCTAAATCAGGAAAGAAATGTTGGAATTTGTCCAGAACTATCTACCATATGACCTTAAAACTTTCAGCAGTGATGGTTCTCATTTTTATCATACTATCATTAGGATTAATTATACATGCTAAGGGCTGTAATAAATAAATACTGAGAGCTAGCAATTTGCTAGGTGTCATGGCTAACATGAAGTTAGAAAGGATTCTCCCAAGAATTTATCAGAACGACAAAAAAGAAGCAAAGGTTAAATCAGGGGTTTTGAACTACTTTTCTCCCCAACATGGCTAAGGAATAGAGCACTCTCCATGACTTAGAGGCTCACCAGTCACCTCCCCTTACCCAAGGGGGGTATAATATCCACTCTTCTAGTGGAAGAAGAGAGGTGAGTAGCTTGAAAAAACCCCGCAGGTAATTACAGCAGGCCCTCTGTCCTGCTGCCCCCCACTCATGGATGTGTTTCCTCTGCTACCCTTCCCTCTGCATTTTGCTCCTCTCATCCAACTGAGATAACTCATTTAGGGATCAAATTAAGAAGAAGATATGTGTCACCATGGGGCAGAAGATAAGAGCTCAGAGCAACTTGGACATAGAACATTTTACAACTTGCCTCCACCACCTCGTGCCAAGACTGATATTGAGACTGTGGAATGATTACAAAGAGAGGGACTGTAGCCTGCAGGAGACAACTTCTGACAGCTGTCCCATCATCAGCCCAGACACAGGACTCCCATTTCCCTTCCCCAGCCCAGATCCAAGAAGGGATTCAGCACATTCTCACACACTCTCTCTCTCCCTCACCCTTCCCATACCTGCTTCCTAAATATACTTGAGTGCTTTGGTTAATGGGTAAAACAGTAATAATAACAGCCAACATTGACTGGACTCTATTACAACTCAACATTCTGTGAAACAAAACTTCACACGTCATTTGAGATTTTGTCCATAATATTTAGATATATAAAGAACATAAACGTAAGGTGGAAGGTTTTCCAACACTTTCACAGATTCGTGTTCTAGCCTAAGGTAAATCATACACAATTTCATGTGACTTTTTGTTTTTTCACCTGGTAACCAAAAAGAGCAAAGGGACACTCAGATAAGTCTCTGGGCCCCCATCCTACAGGCCCCTTCTCACCCTTTACCCTCAATGATTCCATCAGAACGACTCTGACTTTTAGACCGCGTTAACTTTCACTGTAAGACTGCATCTGAAACACATTTGAAAATGGCAGGTAAGGCTCCTTCTAACTCCAGCAAGACCTTCACTCCAACACTGCCTTGTCAACCAGTCACACCTCGGTTTAATATTTCCACTATGTTGACTGTATGTGTATGGTCTATACACATACATCTATGTTAGCGATGTCTCTCTGCTCTGATTCCTTAGAATATAATACAGGGCACTGCCATCTGGCCTGGTTCAACCTTTCTCCGCACATTCTACTTATCTAATTATCTCCACCCCAACCCACAACACACCCTTCGCATTAGTCACTAAAGCACCTGGCATTAGCTCATCATTCCAGGTGACTTCATGTCTCTATAGCTTTGCTGATGCTGTTTTTTCTACTCAGCACGCCTTCTGTCTACCTATGTCCATTTTGAAAACTCGTATTCATCTTTTAATGGTCAACCCAAATACCACCTCCTATATGAAGACTTTTCTGATTTCTCTTGGCAGGATTAATTACTCTTGTTTTTGTATGCTCTGTATTGAAATAATCAATTACAAAATATAGTTCACTGCTTATATATCTACTTCCTATGCTACTTTAGATTCAGTGAGTATGTGGGAAGGTTTGTTACATGGGTATATTGCATGATGCTGAGGTTTGAGGTCACTACCTGAGGTCCCATCACCAAGGTAGTGAGCATAGTACCAATAGGTAGTTTTCAGCCCTTGTCCCCCCTTCCTCCTCCTCTCCCCCCTTCTGCCAGCCCCCAGTGTCTATTGTTCCCATCTTCATGTCCATGAGTACCCAATGTTTAGTTCCCACTTAAAAGTGAGAATATGAAGTATTCGATTTTGTTTCTACCTTAATTCACTTAGGATAATCGTCTCCAGCTGCAAAGCACATTTATGAGTGATAGTCAAAGTAGTTCTTATTACCAACTCCCTGACATTTTTATTTTTAAAACAGATAAGGAAACTGAGGCTTGGAGGGGTTACATTTCCTGTCTGGTACCAAAAACTTTGTAAGTGATAGAGACACGACACTGTGTTTTTTGGTATCTACAGCAGATGCTGTGGCTGTCTCACACATCTCTCCTTTATTAGGTCAGTTTATCCATCTGTCAGCAACTTGTGGGTGTTCCTGCTAGGAGCTCATAGCTGCACCTTTCTCCAGAGAATTGCCCTCCATGTTAATGCTTGGGGGATTATATACATTTACCCCAGGGGCCTCCCACAGTGAATGACCGACTGATACAGGGGTACCAAAGCCCAGCCACTTTGGTGACATTCAAGCTCCGATGTTTCCTGTGCAATCAGGCTGAGACTAGACTTCAGCTGAAACACATCTTTGCTTATCTTGGATCCCTCCCCATCCTATTCCCTCACTTCCTTACAAGTCCTTCCCTCAATAAATGACTTGCACATCCCTGTCTCTATCAAACCTAACCTTGGATAAGAACTATGTTTTGTGATTCCAAGTCCAGTGGCTTTCCCACTGCAGAACGCTGTGTGGCTAAGGAAATGTGGAAGATGCTAGATACTAGTCCCTTTCTTATCAATGCTGGTAACTGATCCAGGATATACATTTTTCCTCTATCTCAGAAAAATCATGTAAACTTATTTCTCAGTCTATCTTACGGTTATATCTGTCTCAAATAAGGACAATGATGTTATGCTGTTATATATAATCTTTTAAGTATTTCAATTAGTATTTTGTAGTGGGATCATTTTATTTCACATTAGATCCCTTGCTAACTATAAAAATGTTATAAATCCAAAGTGTATATTAAAGAAACTCAAAGGTCTATGAAATTAATGTCTCATTTTATAGCAGCATGTAAAATAATTCATCAGCTCAGAAAGAGCTGCCTACAAAATGATATCATCATTATCTTCTAAGTTTTCCCATATTATTCTCTTCCTTCAGGCCTAAAATTAGGTAAATTTTATAAACTTTAATTTTCCAAAAATTCTCATGAAAACCACAGTTCATTCTGTTAGCAAGTATCCCTGGGAAATGATACCTGTATCAGCCAAGATCTAAGCAGGAAATCAAAAACCACTTTAAATCTAAAACAGAAACTTTAACAACAGAGAATTGGTGGCACAGGCAATGCGAGAGCTGCTGAGAGCCAAACAGGAAAGTGAGGCAGCCCAGACACTAGCAGCAGCAGAAAGCCACTACCCACCTCCCCAAGCTACAGGCATAAAGGGAGATGGCAGACATTCGGATCACCTGGAGGAAGCTGGGGGCCCTGGCTTCTCCCAACCTCCAACCTTCCAGAACCTTCCATTGGTTGATTCCTGCCAGAAATCAACTGACAAGGAGGAGCATGAGAATCAATCTAACCTGCAAGGTTTGATCCTACTGTTATAGGGGGCAGAGCAAAGGAAAGGAAAGGCAGGCATGTGCAGGCAAACAGGACTAGGATTAGCACATTGCCGTGGTGCAATTGCAAGAAAGAGCATCAGAAACAATAAAAGGCCCCCATCTGAGAAGCAGCACACGTAGAGCTCATTGCCTGGAATTCTACCACCACAGAACAAAACAAAGGGGAGCCTTGTCTTTGATTTTGCAGCTAATGAAATTATAAATCAAAACCACAGGGAAAGCCTTCCTACTCAGGTTTGTAGCAGCACTTATGTGTATTTCAGGAAACCTCACTAGCATCATTAGGATCAGTTTGACGAACAGTCTAGGCAGCTTTTCAAAAAAGTATATTTCCTATCAGGCGGAAGAAAAACTTATCCAGTTTTTTTGTCACTGTGTTCTTTTTCTTGTCAGCTAACCTCTAAGCCCTTCTTTAAAAACGTAAATATTTGCTGCCTATCTGCTATGGTAGGCTTATTTAAGGGATTACTAATTTTAAAAATATGTTTCTACATTTTTGGGTGAAAATCATAGTGTGAACACTACATATTATAATTAATGCTTGCAATGATACTCCTCATTAAAATAAAAGAGAGTTGATTCAAGCATCAATCTTTGAAGCAAAATATTAAATTTAGTAGAGAAAAGTCTATTGTGAAAACTGGAAATGTACTCATTAGCAAAATGAATCTAATGCTTTTTCAAATTATTAATTTTTACCTGTTTTTATTTCATAGGTAATATCAGAAACTGAAGTATAATTAGAAACTGTGTTATGAACAATCAGGATTTGTGGAAAGCAGAAAACTTGAAAAATACAGAAACTGTCATAATCCCACCAGCACAAATACTGTTAGCATATTCATGTTCTAGTCACAAATCATTTATTGACATCACCAAATGAGCTAAGTCTGGTGCATAGTCTTAATTTGATTTTAAGTCTAAATTGAAATCTCAGTTGTTGATAGCACATGGGAGCCATGGGGAAGAGAAGCAAGAAAAATAACACATTTGCTACTCTTCCCACCATACTTCAGTGACACAAGAGTCTGGGTCCAAGGAAACCTACCACTTCTGCGGATGCCATCTACCGTAAATCAACTGTCTGGTTTCCAGTAGAGATTCCTATCTCCAATCAGAATCATACTTCACAACCTCCCTCAGTAGCGTCCTAAGAGGAAGACATCCCTACAGGAGTGAGAACTAAAGTTCCATTAAAGAACCTTTTTCTCACCTTCTTATTTTAGTTCTACTGCCTTGTCCTTAAGAAGGTTTGAATCTAACAAAATTAGACTTTTACTTTTAAAAGGGGAAAGACCCAAAGGGGTCCCTCAAAACCAAGAATCTGTGTCACATAATTTAGTGTCAAATAATTCCATAATGTTTTACTATTCTATATTTTTACATGCATATTTTTTCTCATCAAGATTGTAAACAAGGTGGCCAAGGTCATGTTTCATATTTCCCTGTTATCTACCCCAATCCCACCCACCAAGCACCCAGTACATGCTCAATAGACACCTTCGATATGAGTAACTCTGATTTCAAAATAAAACCCAAATTATTGCATACACATTATAAATGACACTCTGCAACACACTTCACCAGATGTTTACATGGCTTTCTCACTGACTTTACCCAGGCCCATGCTCACATATCAGACCCCTGGAGAGACCTCCTTCGGCTGTGTATCAGAGAACCCCCCACCATTTTCTAGCCCTTACCTTGCTTTCTTTCTCTTCATAATACTGTGGCTACCTGCTACAGTGTTGAACACATTCGCCACTGGAATGTGAGATCCACAGAGGCAAAGCCCTCGTCTTTCTTATTCACTATCATACTCCATGCCTAGATCTGAACCTGGTTCATAGTGACACTCAAGTAAGCATGGAGCATATCAGTATGTGAACGAATGAAATTTGTTATTACACATGAAAAATTATATTTAAAAACATAAAAGCAAAGAATTGGCCTAGAAAATATTTAAAATACCATTAAAACCTTTATTTTTTTTCTTTAAATTTTATACATGAAGGCCAAATAAGTTAGAACCCACTAATTAACAATTGTAAAAAGTTCAAATAATACAAACGCATAAAGCAAACCCAGGCAACCTGAAGAGTTTGGGGCATAGTCTGAAAATTTTCTCTATGTACATACAAATATAACAAATAATAACTAATGGGTAAAAAATTGTAAACATCTAATCCTTTTAAAGGTAACCCTTTGAAACTTAATATTTTGTAAACATCAAGGATTCTAAGTACAAGAATCCTTTATTTTTTAATCTATAAATTTTAAATATTTACTCTTTGGGTCTCAGTTTCTTCATTATAAAATGAGGATAAATAATAACTCACAGGATTGATATAGAAGATAAATGACAAAATATATCTAGAATGCTTAGCATAGTGTTTGCACACAGAAAAAACAAAGTAGGTAAAAGATAAAAGATACATAAGTCTAGATATCAATGAAAACCCAAGAGGAGGACCTATCCATGAAGTGGAGGTGAAAGATGCTGCTTGGAAGATACGGCACTTGAGATGAGTTTTGAAGGACCACTGGGCATCAGTCAAACTCAGGAACTGGGAGCTGAAGGTCATTTTAGGCTGAAGGAAGAACAACTTCCTCATACAAGAATTTTAGCAGCTGGCATCCTTGGGGAAGGAACCATGTTTGTGGAAAACATCTTAAAGGGCTGCTCTGCAAAGGCAAGGCAAAGCCACAAGGCCATTGTCTGCAAGAAGACCTCAAAAAAAGGTGGAAGCTAAATTGCTTGGCATGAGATATAAACCAAAAACTGCAAGTGGGTGAGAGTCGAGAAGAGAGAGGACATAAGAGCGTGAAAACAGAAGACTTGATAGGCAACAGAAGGAAAACCCTAATAATTTTTTGAGTCTAGAATCAAGCTCTGTTTTACATATAATTACAAAGTATTTTTGCACACTTTGAATACATAACGAATTTTCCAGGAAGGAAGCGATCATATAAATTTTATAAAGACTGTACTTTGATAGTTTGGAATTTTCCAAGAGTTGATGGCTGTATTAGTATCCTTTTGTTGCCGTAAGAAATTACCACAAACATAGGGGCTTCAAACAACACAAATTTATTTTCTTATAATTTTAGAGATCAGAAGTCTAAAGTGACCCACTGGGCTGTGGTCCTTCAGGAAGTTTTAAGGATAACCCCTTCTCTTGCCTTTTCTAGCTTCTAGTGGCTGCTGGCATTCACTGGCTCATGGCCCTGGATCACTCCAGCCTCTGTTTCTGTTGTTGTATTTCCTTCTCTGACTCTAATTCTCCTGCCTCTCTCTTACAAGGACCCTTGTGATTACATTTGGCCCACCAGACAATGCAGTATAACCTCCCTATCTGAAGATCCTTAACTTAATCATATCTGAAAAGTACCTTTTGCCATGTAAGGCAATGTATTCACAGGTTCCAATGTTTGGGACATGGACATTTTTGGAGAAACCATTATTCTGCTTGCCACAGTCACCTTTTCGGGCAACCATGAAAAGTACCTTTCTCCATGTAAGGGTATGTATTCACAGGTTCCAATGTTTGGGACATGGACATTTTTGGAGAAACCATTATTCTGCTTGCCACAGTCACCTTTTCGGGCAACCACATCATGGAATATAATGGTACTTGTATATTAACCACTCATATTGTTCTGAGTGGCTAATATAAAACACCTTATCAGACTGCATTATTCACAGTTCCAGCTAAAAAAAGGTAAGAATACTTGACAGCCTTATATTTCTCTGGTAGACTCCTGCCCAATAATTGATATTTACTTATTTAATTTCCTGTTATTTTTTCTTGTACAGTTAGAGAATTTTAAAAATTATGCATAAATAGGTTATATTATCCTTACAAGTAATAAAAGAGACATCATTACAAAATGTTAAATATTTATTGCCAAATGGGTTGTTGAATGTGACAGGACTGAGAATCACTGAGTTAGAGAGTTAAATATTATTTTTAATGAGTTAAGTGGTGCTGGAACATCTACCAAATATATTTTAAATCTGGTTATGGCAGTAGCAGCAAGTCTGAAATTAAAGGTAAGTATTCTACAGGAAATATGCCTGTAGACAGATATGCTTCCAGTGTAGTGCAAATGTAACAGAACTTCCTTCTTAGCTCTGAATGCCTTCCCTCTCAGACACTGCCCTCTTCTTGGCCAGCCCTCTCCTCCTCACTCTCTGCTTCAGGCCCTGAAGGCATGGAGAAACTGACAGATAATGAAGCACTCTCAGCTGCAGGAACACAGACAACTGGGCTCTTTACCATTTCATGGAGCATCGCAAAGGAAAAACATGGCTCTGCTGATAAAGGCTCTTACGTTAGTATAATGATGGCTAGGAAGGCAGGTGCCAGGAAAAAAGGGAGGTCAGTGAAAAGACAGGACAACAGGACACCTCAGATGGGGAAGAGGGAGTCCTGAAAGCAGGGATGGGGCCCACTGGGCTCTTCTGGGTTGCAGTAAACACCTTAGGCTATTTCTATTAATATATGGACTGCCAATTTAAAATAATGTTTAAAATTCAAAATGGATGTTTAGGGAAGGACAAGAGATGAACACACAGCAAAGAAGCCAGAAAACAAGCTCGAGTGGCCACAGACATACTCCCAGAGCCTGGAAGGTCATTTCAATACAGCTCTAGTATGAGTTATGTGTATTCTCTTCAGCTGCAGGATGCCACCGTGCTCTCCATTCTGGGCTCACACTTTATGGTGAAACAGTCCATTCCCCATTGCTCTTGCCTCCACCAACCACAGGTTATCTGTTCATTGTTTTGGTCTTTAGGTTCCAGTCTCTCTCTGTGACTACGTATTTCCTGATTCTCGTTCCTTCTCTCCCTGTATCCTTCTCCTCCCTCTCCTCCCTAACATTGCATTGAACAGAAGGCATGAAGTACAAGAAAACCAACAGGCCACATCTGCCCACTAAATTAATTCAGCTCCCTAGAGCCAGTCTATGTATGGCTGCGCTGAGGTCATGAACCTCATAGGTACCATCAGGATAGTGGAGTCACGTTGGCATCCAACGAGTGTGACGATCTAACTGTAGGCTGAGTCAGTCAAGCAGTACTAGACTTTATAGTAAATGGACATGGGTAGGTTCTGTAGTCAAGCTGCTTGGATCCTGGCTCTGTCAATTATTAGCTGTTACCTTGGACAAGTTATTCAATATCTTTAAGCCTCAGTTTTTTTCAGCTGTAAAATGGGGAGGATGGGAAATAACAGAACTTGTTAATAAATTATTTTTGGTGATAACTGAGATTGTTGGCACCCTCTTAAATTCTGTGCCTGCCTCACTCACCTTACCTTAGACCAGTACCTGGTCATGGTTCTGGAGGTTCTGGACCCATCAGTACAGGCAACAGCCTCCCAGAATCCTATCATTTGCATTTTAAAGTCCAGCTTTTCCTTGCTACTTCTTCCTTTTGTGAATATATTAATATTTCTCCCTCCTATTTAATCCCTACATTGGTTGTTTCAGGATTCGGTATTGATGTTTGAGAATATTTTTGGCCTGAAAGATTCATGTTTGGAATAATATATGAACTTGGACTAATGTAATTATGTAGGAAGCCAGCATATTCATGTGTTAACACCTATCCTTAATTTCATTTTAATAGAAAATGATTCTTAGCTTAAATAGAATGTAGAACTGTCATTCTGTAAGTCCAGGGACTCAGAGGAAATGCAAGATTGTATGAAACGGAATTATTTACTAAAAAGTGTTAATGTCACAATGCATTGCAAGAAAATAAATTTAAAACAAAGTATATTTGTTCAAATTAATTTTCTTGGAGCCTAACATGTTTCAAAGAAAATCTGAACCGTAATTAATGAATTTGCTGAATAGAATGTGTTTGCAAGACAGCCCAGGGTTGAGCTCTGCTAAAGCATAAGGACTTCGAACTCCTCAGGGAAAATAGTAGCATAATATCCCACAGATTAGAAGTCAAAGACTTCAGTGCTACTAGGGGCCAGGAAGGCAGTGAAAGGCATGAGCTGGAGTGTATCAGGAATACAACAGGGAAAGGTGAAGACTGTGATTAACTGCAGGTGCCTTTCCCTGTTTAGAGTGGGCAGGGGCCCCTCATCATGGTTGATTGTTGGCATTTGGAAATCCATGCTAACTTTTCAGATACTCCAATTTTTCAAAACAAGCCAGAAAGCCAGGTACTTATGTGAAAACACTCATATTTAAAAATATTGGCTCAGTATTTTTTAAAATCACTCAAATGGGCAAAATAAAACATAACTGAATTGTGTTTTTTTTTTTTTTAGATTGGGTCTCACTCTGTCACCTAGGCTAGAGTGCAGTGGCATGATCATAGCTTACTGTAACCTCTAACTCTTGGGCTTAAGCAATCCTCCCACCTCGGCCTCTCAAGTAGCTAGGACTATAGCTGCAACACCATGCCCAACTAATTTTTTAAATTTTGTTGTAGAAATGGGGTCTTGCTATGTTGCCCAGGCTAATCTCGAACTCCTGGCCTCAAGCAATCTTCCCACCTTGGCTACCCAAAGTGCTAGGATTACAAATGTGAGCTACTGCACCTGGCCTGATTTTCTAATCTCTGCATAGAGAATGATATTTGTTATAAGAAGTGGGGGAAATGAGATGGATTTTCATTCTTTATTTCTTAAATCTTACCTTGAGCATTTCTGAAGAATTGAAGATTTTAATTTATTTATGAAAACTTTTGTTTTAGTTAACCTAAAATAAAGGCTACATAGAGACACAAAACCAAAATTTTGACCTCATAACAGTCTGACCAGCTTTTCTGAGTTGTGCCATGGGTTTTCCAGTTGGTAGTCCCTTCAAGAAGGGAAGAAATTGCATCACATTTGGACGGCTTTACAGCTCCTTTCTGACATTTCCCAGCAAAACCTCATCTAGGCCCCACCTCTGACAGTGACTGTCATTCTGAAAAACTGGGTTTAACTCACAGGCTAGAAATGCACTCTAGAGGACGAGCTTGAATAAACCTGCTGAAACTCAGGAAACCACAGGGGAACTGGAAAGTGACCATGTTTAATATTTAACAAAGTGAGTTGTACTCTGAGGCACTATTATTTTTCCTTTGCTCCAGAAATACAAGGTGAATGCTTTAAGCAATCCAGCTTGGGCCTTACTTCCAACACAATTTACAAGAATACACTTGCTCTTTGCTGAAGAGGGCTCCTAAAGCCACTGGCCTACACCATTCCTGAAGCCCACTCTTCTAAGTTTGAGATGCTTGACTGTAACGTAAGCAAATCTGAACATGCAGTCTATCTTTGGGATGTCTCAGGATGTTTGAAAATTAAGGGAGAGAAGATGGAAATGAAGGAGACCCTTGACCGGAGCCAGTGGGATATGGGGGGAGTACACACCTTGGTAAGACTTAGATTGCTCTCCACCAAGGCAAGGGAAGAGAAAAAGGATAAGACAAAAAGTGAAATGACTTCAATTCCCATTTAACAAATGCCATCACATTAAAAATCTATGGCACATTGGACCCCATAAATATATACAATTATTATTTGTCAATTAAAAACAAATTTTTTACAAAATCCGTGATACACTCTCAAAGCCTCAGACCCAGGCTCATATTCTCCAAATGCTATTCAATAGAACACAAGTTCAAGAAGAGTAAAAGCACTGGACAGCCTGTCCCCTGGAGCTCATAGCGATAGAATTTGACCTACATTGCTAAAATGCCAAGTTTGTCCTTCTGGATCTTTTTATGGATAAAATTCAGAGAAGAGATGACTATAAAAGTTAGTGTCAGTGTGTTTAACAAATAGCCTTTGATCTTTTGAATAATACTTGCCTCAAAAACTTCCCTCTATCTAGAAAAGTTAATTAGTATTTTTTTAATTAACAATATATTAAAATGTTAATTCAGCATTTTTTCTGGAAAAAAAATAGAAATAATAGGCTCTCCTAAAGTCCCTATTGTTGTGAGTCTGTAGAGAGGATCTCTAACTTTTAAATTCAGCTTGCTTGTTTTGTCACTTTTATTAGGCAGCATCTTCCAAAAAGCCACTGGGCATCTTTCACAGGCCATGGAAAGATAACATTGGATTAAAGATAATACGGGCTCTGCTCTAGGGAGCCTGATTCCCTTTCCATCGCCTGTCAGGACCTTCAAGGGTAATTGTCACTATCAGAAAGCAGTGACTTTTATTTTCCCTCAAGGTAGATTCAGTGTTCAGACCCTCAGAGTGATGTAAAAGGCCCAGTAAGAACTGCATGGCCGTAAGAACTGCATGGCAGGACTGGAATTTAACTCTTGGGTGCTATAAACTCATCCTCTGGTTTCTTCTCCTTGACTTGTCCAAATCTAGTTGCTACATTAAAAACTTCCCTGCATGGGCCAGGCGCAGTGGCTCATGCCTTTAATCCCAGCACTTTGGGAGGCCGAGGCGGGCAGATCACGAGGTCAAGAGATTGAGACCATCCTGACCAACATGGTGAAACTCTGTCTCTACTAAAAATACAAAAAAAAAATTAGCTGGGCGTGGTGGTGGGCGCCTGTAGTCCCAGCTACTCGGGAGGCTGAGGCAGGACAATCACTTGAATCCAGGAGGCAGAGGTTGCAGTGAGCCGAGATTGTGCCACCGCACTCCAGCCTGGCAATGGAGCAAGACTCTGTCTCAAAAAAAAAAAAAAAAAAAAAAAACCTCCCCTGCATTACTGATAAAGAGCATCTCACTCTTTCTTACATTCCTCCAAGGGGACATAGATCATTCTTGGGGACTCTGGAGACTTAATGCAGGAAACACATGGCCAAAACCAAGGAAGCACAAGTGAGAAAACACAAAAGTTGGAGCAGATACTTGAGGGAAATGGAGCAAAGGCTCTGAGTCATTTGTGGGAAAAAAAGACAAATGAAAATTGATTCAGTAACTGTGTTCCTTCATTTTACCCAAATGAGTTGAAAACACGTCCACACAAAAACCTGCACATAGATGTTTATAGCAGCTTTATTCACGACTGCCAAACCTTGAAAGACACTGAGATGTCCTTCAGTAGTTAAATGAATAAATAAACTGTGATACATCCAGAAAACAGAACATTATTCAGTGCTAAAAACAAATGAGCCATCAAACCATGAAACTACATGGAGGAAATTTAAATGCATATTACTAAACAAAAGACGCCAATCTGAAAATGCTACATACCGCATTATTCCAACTATGTGACATTCTGGAACAGACCAAACAATGGAGACAGCTGGGTACGGTGGCTCACACCTGTAAGGTCAGCACTTTAGGAGGCCAAGGCAGGTGGATCATTTGAGGTTGGGAATTCGAGACCAGCCTGGCCATTGTGTTGAAACCCCGTCTCTATTAAAAATACATAAATTAGCCAGGCATGGTAGCAGGTGCTTGTAATGCCAGCTACTCAGAAGGCTGAGGCAGAAGAATCGCTTGAACCCAGGAGGTGGAGGCTGTGGTGAGCCGAAATTATGCCACTGCACTCCAGCCTGAGTGATAGAGCAAGATTCCATCTCAAAGGAAAAAAAAAACAAAAAACAAAAAAAAAACAATGGAGACAGTAAAAACATCAGTGGTTGTCAGGAGTTGAGGGGAGCGGAGATTAGTAAGCAGAGCTGAAGAGTATTTTGGGCAGTGAAACTATTCTGTTCGATACTACAATATTAGATAGATACATGTCATTATACATTTCTCAAAACCCCTAGAATGTTCACCAAGAGTGAACCCAAATGTAAACTACTATGGATTCTGGGTGATAAAGAAGCATCAACGTAACTACATTGATGATAACAAATGTACCACTCTGGTGCAGGATGCTGAAAGTGAAGGTTGCGAATGGGGGCAAGGGAGCGGGGATTGAGTGGAGGGATTCGAAGGGCAAAAGAACACTGCTAATGGAGCATCAGAATCGAATGAGGAAACAAGAATAACACAATAAATGTTCAAGAGCCTTTTTTAGTCTTTAGCAGGAAAAATTAAAAGCTACTTCTCCAGGGACCTGAGACTAACATTAGGCATCACCACTGTCCATGGCATTGTTTCTCTGCTGTAACGTGGGGGCACAGGGTGTTCTTATCAATTGTTATGAAACTCTCAGATACTAGATACAAAAGAGAAGGAAGTTGGGAAAATTACAAATATTAACAAAATACAACTTCTGTTTGGAGGAGAGTTTGCGGTGGAGTGGGAACAAGGGACACTACACTCATAAGTGAGGAGGTTCATGGGGAATGGGGGTGGGAGGAAGATCATGGACTGAATACAAACGTGCTAGCCTCAATGCTCCAAACTGGAGTATTGGCTGCCTACCAATGATATGCATTGTGACCCTAGGTCATCTAACCAATTGATGTTTCCTGCTGAAGTAATCTTGAAGGTAAACAATGTAATTTTAAGAGCAAAGATAAGGTCTTTCTACCAACCAAAACATGTACCCTGCTTGCTAACATGTACCCTTCTGCTACCTATTAAAATGCAAATACCCTTAGGAGATATTAGACTTGAAGTCATTTAAATCAAGTGTAACTTACTGTGAGTTTATTTATCTGATCTGAGTAGATTGCTTTGATAGGAAAAAGGATATATTAAACTCAAGATCACTGAACACCATGGCATGGTGAAATGTTTGGCTGGGAGAATGAGGATATTTAAAACACTCTATTAACTATAGGCTTTAGCAAATCAATTTTCTTTCTGAAAAAATGGGATGAAAACACTGAAGGCATGGTCCATGAAAGAAAGAATTGATAAGCTGGACTTCATTAAAATTAATATTTTCTTCTCTGTAAAAGACACTGTCAAAAGAATCCAAAGACAAGCCACAGACAGGAAGAAAATATCTGCAGAAGACGTATCTGATAAAGAACTGTTATCCAAAATGTATAAAGAACTCTCAAAGCTCAACAATGAGAAAGAAAACAACCAGATTAAAAAATTGGCCAAAGACTTTAGTTGACACCTCGCCAAAAAAGATATACATATGGCAAATAATCATATGAAAAGATGCTCTGTATCACATGTTATCAGGCAAATGCAAATTAAAACAATTAGATACCACAGTATACCTATCAAAATGACCAAAATCCAGAACACTGATAACACCAAATGCTAACAAGGAAGTGGAATCATAAGAACTCTTCCATTGCTGATGAGAATGCAAAAGACAGTTTGGCAGTTTCTTACAAAACTAAACATACTCTTACCATACAAGCCAGCAATCACACTCCTTGGTATTTACCAGAAAAAGGGTTGAAAACTTATGTCCATCCAACAGGAATGTTTACAGCAGCTTTGTTCATAATTGCCAAAACTTGAAAGCAACCAAGATGTCCTTCAGTGAACGAATGGATAAACTGTGGTACATCCAGACAATGAAATATTATTCCGTGCTGAAAGGTTCAGAGCTATCAAGCTATGAAAAGACATGGAGAAAACTTCAATGCATATTACTAAGTGAAAGAACGCCATCTGGGAAGGCTACATACTATATAATTCCAACCATGTGACACTCTGGGAAAAGCAAACTATGAAGACAGTAAAAAGATCAGTGGTTCTCAGTGGTAGGGGGAGAGAGAGATGAAAGGCAGAGCACAGAGGATTTTTAGGACAATGAAACTATTCTGTAATGATACACATCATTATGCTGTAATGATATAATACTGTAATGATACACATCATTATGCATTTGTCAAAACCCATATAGTATAATGCACCAAGTTATATAGATTGGATGTTGTCCCCTTTAAATCCCATGTTGAATTGTAATCCCCAATGTTGGAGGTAGGGCCTGGTGGGAGGCTACTGAATCATGAAGCCAGATTTCTCATGAATGGTTAAGCCCTATCACATTGATGCTGTTCTCGTGATAGTTCTCACAAGAACCAGCTGTTGAAAAGCGTGTGACATCTTCCCCCTTGCTCTCTCTCTTGCTGCTGCTATCACCATGTGACATGCCTGATCCACTTCGCCTTCTGCCAAGCTCCCTAAAACCTCCCCAGAAGTCAAGCAGATGCCAGCACCATGCTTGTACAGCCTGCAAAACCATTAGCCAATTAAACCCTTTTTCTTTATAAATTATCCAGTCTCAGGTATTTCTTCATAACAACACAAGAATGACCTAACACACCAAGAATGAACCTTAATGTAAGGTAAGGTCTTTGAGTGATAATGATGTGTCCATGCAGGCCCATCAGTTGTAATAAATGTACCACTCTGGTGGGAGAATTGACAATGCAGGAGGCTATGCATGGTAAGGGGCAGAGGGTATACAGGAAATCTGTGTACCTTCCACTCGATTTTGCTGTGAACCTAAAACTGCTCTTAAAAAATAAAGTATAATCTGAAAAAAAATCTTTAATGAAAACAATGCAACCTTTGAATGTTTGCAAAGTAACCAGAGCATTGACTGTATACTATCTTACTATTGTTATTACTCTCGAAAAGATACTTAGGGAGCAGTGAGTAGATTTTATGGAATGGAGACAAAAGAGTCTTCGATTTCTCTCAGCCTAGCTCGCTGAAGTTGTACATTAGGGAAACAATATTCATGTGCAAGTTTTTGTCCGGTATTCATTTATTTTCCTCTGATTCTCTTGAGCCACAGGGATCAAGGACTGGTTTTGGGTATTCCCATGTCCTACAATATATATCTCCACAAAACCTAATCTCTTTAATTTTTTCAGAATTTCCAGAAAAAACTACAAGATCTTGACCACATGTCTATGACCTTGGAATTTTCTCATGAGGATCTTGGACACCACCACTACACCTTGCTGACCTCCAAGGCCAGCTTCCCCTTAGAGTTCTGACCAAAGTACTATACAAAGCTCTTTGCTTAGTTCATTTAGGGCTACTCAGGCAGTTGGCACTTTTAAACAAAAGAAAGTAAACATAGACGGGGAACAAACCATTTTTAAGAAGCCTGACTTATATAAAAGAGGTTCCTCATCTTATCACAGTTACCTACTAACAGGACTCTAAGGTCTTGGCTGTCCTAGATCCTGTCTCCCAAGCTATCAACCATGTTAGAGCAAAAAGGCCCATTAAGCATCATGGCATCCAGCCTGGACCCTTTAACTCTCACATCCCTGTATGCATACTTCTTACCACCTACCACCAGGGACCCAAGGGCTTTCCAGTGTGCCTGGCCTCTCAGCCTTTCCCACTAATTCCCTGTGTCTAGTTTGACATTTGTCTCTTCCCCAGTAATGAATGACTGTCCTTCAGGAGAGGCAGCTGCCCTCCCCTCATACCTCCCTACACCCATTAATCTCCCTTGGACATAGGTCAACTCGGTAGTAGGCCTAATAGATATTTTACCCACAAGATAGCATTACATCTATGTAGCAAGACACACACACATAACACACCTGCCAAGATGAAAAAGAGTGAGGGAGAATGTGCAGCTGAGATGTTGCATCATACTCACTACTAAATTGTAAGAAACAGTCTTGAAAGCAGGGTCCATTTGTCAGTGTTTATATAACCCTTGATGGCCAGCACAGCATCCAGTACAATTAGGCACCCAATAAATAATTGTTGCATTAAATAATGAATGAATACATTTAATGATTTCTCCCACTGTTTAAAATCTGAAGTGAAAGACCAGTTCTGTGCTCTGACATAGCCCCTGATAAATTTTGAGTTTTAAGGAAATCCTCAACAAAGCCTCCATTGATCAAGCTCCAGGATTAACTTCTCTCTGCTGTTTACTTTCCAACACAGAAAACTTTAAATACTTTAAAATATGTAAAGTTGGAGGAATTAAATTAAATAAACAACTCACTGGCAATGGAACCACTCCAAGGCAAAGTCAATATAGATACTCTCAAAACTACACATAAAGTCACCAAGGCAAAATGAACCTCTCATACTTAAAGCAAGAAAAATATATTTAACAAGAATTAGTATTTACTGAGAACCTACTATGTACCAAGAAGTATGATTGGCACATATTTTATATTGTTTTGTTTAACCCTTACGACAGCCCTACACATTAAGAAGTATTGTCTCCATTTTAAAAAAGTCAGAAAAGTGTTTCTGTCCATAGTCACTTGTTTAAGGGGTTAAGGGCATAAACTTTTGGATCCAGACTGACTAGGTTTAAATTCTGCCGCTGCCTTTTCCTAGCTGTATGACCCTGGACAAACGTAGCTTAATATATTTGTGCCTTGGTTTCTTCATCTGAAAAATGGAGCTAATAATTGTGCCAGTTGCTAAATTATCATCGCTCATCTCCAAGCCCACGTTTCTGTTATCTGCTTTGTGATGCTTGGGGCTGGAACTCTGAGAACCACATTTCGGCTGAGTCAGCTGCTTCTTGTAATATCTGCCAGTAGGGGCGCTAGCGAGAGGGGCAGAGCCCGAGGACGAACAGGGGACTTGCTCCTTCCCGTGTGCTTCTTATGAACTTCGCCTCAGCAGTACCATCCTTTTCTTCTTCCTACAGAGCCACCGAGCCAGTTTGTAGATTTTCCAGAATCAGCCTCATTATGTGCCCCTCAGGGACACTGGCACCCGCCCCCTCCTTTTTCCAGAATCAGCCTCATTATGTGCCCCTCAGGGATACTGGCACCCGCCCCCTCCTCAGAGGTCTGAATTTCAGCTCTGTGGGGCCCTTCCTCTAAGTGTCCAGGAAGTGTTGGTAATCCCAGCTCTTTCCTTTGCTCCCTCAGCCCTGGAGACGGCAGCTGCTCCCTGGAATTGCTTGCTACCTACCTGATACCTTACAGCTCTCTTTCTACCCTTCTTTTTACCCTTTTCATTACCTCATTAAAACATTACAACCGGTTAACCAGTTAGATTCTCTTTTCCAATTATTGGTGTGGTATTCTCCTGACAAGCCCTGAGAAACAAGAACACCTACCTCATTAGGTCACTGAGACTATTAAATGAGTTCATCGTAAAATGCTCGTATTGTACCTGGAGCACAGGGCTTGCGATATCAATGTTAGCTCTTTTTATGTGGTAAGTATTGGAGCTGGGTGGGAATCTGGGTCTGTCCATCTTCTCAATCAACATAATGTTTCTCTAACAAAAATAGCTACTGTTGACACAGGCATGGGCTTAATGCTTCCACATACGTTGCCTCTTTTAATCCTCTTCAGCACCTCTTAGATGCTTTGAATTTTTGCAGTGTTTTTTCTCTGACAGTTGGCATCAAGAAAGGTATTCTGAGTTACTATGTGCATTATTCTGAAAAGCTAGGCAAGTACTCCCATCAGTGCAAACTTCTACAGTGGAAGAATAATATGTAAATATGAACCTCTCTAAAATTAAACATGAACTTCTCCGAACTTGCCCCATGTATCACCAGGAATTAACATAATTTAAGTGTGTATGTGTGTACTCATGTGTGTTTGTCTGAGAATTAATATTTTGAAATTTCAAATTTTCTACTCTTTGAATTTCTAAACTATCAATGAAATATAGAACCTCAAAATTATTAAAAGGCTACTTTGCACCAGGTACTGGGATATAAGTGTTTTCACATATATTATCTCATTTCATCCTTAACATATGCTACCCCAGTGGGTATGATCATCTTCTCTATACAAATATGTTCAAGATCACATAGCAAAGTGGCAGAACCAAGAATTGAAACCAATTCTTTCTGACTCACAGAGCTCATGTTTTAACCAATTCATCACAGGTCATAAGTGAGGGTTATTCTCCACAACACATGTTGAGAGAATAAAGTTTAGTAAAAATATGAACTGAGATAGGAACAATTCCTTCACTGTGAAGTGCTTAGAAAATAAAAGAGCTGAATATAGCACAGTATCTTCTGACCTTGCTTTCAGAATTGCTTGTAAGTCATGGGAAAATTCTCAGGTTCTGTCACTGGGTTTCAAGAATCTCCCTCAAATTATATTTCATTTCAAGGATCCCTCTCCCATTTCAGTTTTGCTATTATGAAGGCAAAGCATATGGGAATAAGAACTACTTTGTTTCTGGGTATGCCCTGGCCATCCAAAGACAAGTCATTCTCTTCAGGAAGAAAAATAAATAAATAAATAAATAAATAAATAAATAAATAAATAAATAAATAAAAGCACCCACCCAAAATAATTATTTTTTAAAGGAACAATACGGAAGAAAAAACATACCTTTTGCTTGGTGCTTGATTTCAGGCCAACTCGGGAATGACTTTTAGACTAGAGGAAAAAATGAGAAAGAAATCTATGAAAAACACAGTATAATAGTAGAATGTATTTTGAAGTCATTTCTTCTATTACAGGAGGTATAAGTTTTAAGTTAAAATCCTTTCCCCTAAACTTCCTTCTAGCATCTAGAAATCTAAGACTAGAAACACAGCACAGACTCCAGTGTTGATATTTGAAATTTACATACTATTTAAGTTCTAGAGCTGAGAATGCAAAGACTGACCTACACTTTGGCAATGCCTTGGTCATATTTACCAAGTCAGCATCTTTTCTTAGAGGACACTGGCAGAAACCAAAAACTGCAGCACATGAAGAAATGCCTGCAGCTCTAATAAAGGAAAGGGAAAGAAGGAAGAAAATGAGTGAAACGAGAGGCAAGAAAGAAAAAAGAGAAGGAAAGGAAGGAAACAAATGTCCTCTAAATTGGAACGCAACAAAACAGGCAGAATGAAGAAAAGAACATGCTTATGGGAAGATTTCCAAGTGCGTTTCTGTAGGGAAGATTTTAATCTGTTAACTTAAATAAATTTTCATTACATTGAAAACAGCTCTCAAAAACATTAGTTCTTATATAGGGCTTTTTTTTCTTCCAGTTTGTTCATGATTATCTAAACTGATCTGGGATTAGCAAAGGTAAACCAGGCATTAAGCCATGCATAAGAATATTTTGATATGGAATATTATTATGATTTTTCTCCCAATGAGAAAAAAGCAAGTCAAGCTTACTATATTTAGTATTCACATAGTGAATATATTTTTCTTTAAACATACTATGAATCAAAGTTAACTCTAAATCATTTGCTGCAACATAGCTAGAAAAATGTCTTCCTAAGTCAGCAGTCCTCAAACTTTTTCGTCTCAAAGTCCATTTATACTTTTTAAAAGTATTGAAGTTTGAAGTTCCCAAAAAGCTTTTGTTTATATGGGTTATATCTACTAATATTCACCTTATTAGAAATTGGAGTTGAGAAATGTTTAAACATGTATTTATTAATTCATCTTAAAATAGCAAGAATAAATTCACTCCATGTTAACAAACACATTGTATGTATACACCAAAACAGAAAAAAATAGTGAGATGACATTTACATTTTTGCAAATTTATTTAATGTTTAGCTTAAAAAGAAGATAGCTAGATTCTCAAAACTGCTTTTGATTTCATCTATTTTGATAGGTTTTTGCTTTCAATAAATGAAGAAAATCCAGCCTCACTCAGATATGAGGTTGGAAAAGGAAAGAGTATTTGTAATGATCCTTTCAGAAAATTGTGGATATTCTTCTCTGATAATATGCCAAAACTTGACAAGTGGTAATTTCTTAAGGGTTAGTTGCAATGTATAGTCTGAAATCATACCATGAACATTTTATACTCTGTTACATTAAAATGTGTTGGTCTATCTTACACTTTGAATAGATCTTTTGTAGCATCTTGCATTGGTCATTTTGAAAACATTGGTTCAGTGAGTTATGCAGAATTCCCAAATGTTGACCCATTTCATTATATAATATCCCCAAAATCACATTTGTTAATAACCAACCTCACCGAAAAAAATCTTCAACTGCTTGTAAGGTATTAAGCTCATAGTAACAGATAGAAGATTTCTAAAATGCTAATTTTCTCTTGAAAGCTTGAATTTTATCACAGGCAACAAATACTGTCAGTTGCTTCCTTGAAGTAATACACTTACTTCATTCATTTTTGCAAACATGTCTGCTAGCCACCTGAATCTAAATAATCATAGTTCATCTCTTGTTCTTTTAAGATAAAATGGTATTTTATGAAAAAAGAGACTAGTTCAGCTCACAATTCAACTGCACAGTGCTCTTCCTCAAAACAGCCACTGAACCTTTGAATGGAGCAAAAGTGCTGTATGCATACTTTCCATTTTATCACACAGAATACTAAAGAAATGTGTACTCGAGGGTTAAGATTTAACAAACTTAATAGTTTTTAGTATTTCATCAAGGGCATTCTTAAGTGAAACAGGCATTTTTTTTCCTGCAGTGCAAATGCACAGTGGTGAAATTATAAAGATTACTATACAGTTTGGTGCTACTGCATTAAGTCATGCTAAAGCACCAACAGTTTTAGCCACCATTGCTTCTACACAATCAGTGCAAATGTCACCCAAAAAGGCAAAGAATGTCTTCTTAATATTATGACAAGAGTTTTTACTTCTGAGATTCCCTTTGAGAATTGCCACCCTTAGTCATTTATAACCGTTGAGCCTAAAGCAAATAAATAGATCGTATGAGGAACAGGGCCAATGAAAAGCAAGTTGTCATTGTCCCTACTTCCCTTCTGCTGCCTTAGACAAGAGAGACCAATCAGTAGTAGACTTCCTTCTAATGGACAGAGCCAGGATGGGGAAAGAAACTTGAGATGAAATCAAGTGTTCATCTTTCACTTATTCATATCATGTTTTGAAATCCATCTAGACTGTTATGAGCTCAATTATTTCCCACTAAAATTTATATGTTGAAATTCTAACCCCAGTACCTTAGAAATGTGATTGTATTTGGAGATAGAGGCTTTCGAGCTAAATAAGGTAAAACGAGGTCATATAGACAGGCCCTAATCCAATATGACTGGCATCCTTATAAGAAGAGGAGATTAAGACACAAACAATACACATACACAGAGGAAAGACCATGTGAAGACAAAGATATCCATCTACAAGCCAAGGAGAGAGGCCTCCAGATGAAACCAACCCTGCTGACAGCTTGATCTTGGACTTCTAGTCTCTCTCAGAACTGTGAGAAAATAAATTTCTGTTATTTAAGCCACCCGACCTGTGTATTTTATTATGGAAGCCCTAGAAAACTAATACAAATCTACTCCAAAGAAGAAGTCAAAAATCCAGAAAACGGAGGTCCAGCAAAACTAAGCCCTGAATCAAAATGGACCATTATCAACACATTCATTGTCAACCATGTAAATCCTGAGAAAGAAAGTCTGGATCAATGCTTCTCAAACTCTAGAGTTCATAAAGATCAGTTAGGGGGCTGTTAACCGTTCCATTTTCCCAACTCCAACTCCAAAGATTCCAAGTAAGAAGATGTAGGTGTAGGATATCTCCCTGGAATGTGCATTTTAACCAGCACCCCAGAGAACTGAAATAGATATATGATCTACAAAGAATGATTTGAGAAATACTCACCTGCCAAGGACAGTGGTAACTTGGGCTAGGAGAATTGAAACAGGGTAAATGTTGGCAAATTATTCACACTAGCCCAAAAGCAGATCTACAATAGTTCTTTAACCTCTCCAATTAAAAAAAAAAATAAGCATACAAAGTGTGTGTTTATTTATATTTTTTAGAAATTTGGCTGGGCTTCTATACCATATTAAATTCCACAAACATCCGTGAATATGGCCTTTGTATACAACTCAAAGTCATGACAGTCAACATGACTTAAAGGAAAAGCCCTCAATTTCTATAGGGGATTAAAAGCCAATTCAATTATAAAGAAATGCCTTCTTCATTTGACATTAAATGAGCTCTTGGGTCTTGGCAGAATGGAGAGTGGGCTTAATAAAGATCATCTGTGTTGCACATTCCATGCTATGGAGTGGGTCTCCTATTTACAATCTGGAGGACTTCTAAAAATTTCTTTCATAAGTTAGGTGTTAAAGACTAGAGTTTACTTTCCCCATAGAGATAATTTTATAGGCTACACCATAAAGGCCTATTTAATCACTAATATAACTGGAATGCTATGTAATTGCAATAAAAAGCAGTAAACTACCACACTACTGACAATTACAGCAGAAAATAATAAAAATCAATTAAGAACCTGTTTCACTTTCTCCATATATCTTGAATAATAGTGTAAAACAAAATGTATATTTAATTTGAAGAAGATGAAGACCAAGGTAGAAATTCTGGAATTCTGAAGAGGCCTTTAAAGAAATTTCAAGACATGGTATTCACAGCTAATGTGTCTGATGCCGCGCCCTTCCCTCCCAAGTGGATGGTTTTGCTTTTCTCAGTTCACGTGCATCACCAGCATTGCTCTGATCTTTAGCAGCTATGAATAGGGTCACTCAGGACTCCTAGTGGTAAGGAGCAGTAAGGGAACTAAAAAGGCTATTAGACGGCTCCCTGAGGCAGGCA
The DNA here is from genome assembly GCF_000001405.40 of Homo sapiens. Lineage (NCBI taxonomy): Eukaryota > Metazoa > Chordata > Mammalia > Primates > Hominidae > Homo > Homo sapiens. The sequence goes on from NC_000004.12 coordinate 81,919,486, forward strand.
CACTGGCCCAGGCCAGCTCTCACCAGAGATGGACTATTGCCTATTTTCACCTGTCCCCTAGCTTGGAAAATGCAGAAATGGGGAGAAAATGAAAAGGGAAAAAACTAGCTTTTCTCAAAAAATTGAGCAAAAATTCAAAAAGAAAGGAAAGATAAGGCAATGAAAACTATTCTACATGAATAACTGCCTCAAAAGAAAGAAGGAAAGTCATGGAGAAGAGGTAAGTAGGTCAGAAATTTGCCTAAGTCAGACTTTAGCTGGCATTAGTGTCCAAGAACCCCAAGATTGCTCTCTGGAACTAATGAATGGCAAGAAGGAAAGGAGAGCAGAATAGCTTGGCAGTGGGGAAGGTAGAGGAGGAGTTATTATGTTGTAACTGGCACCACATATACAAGAAGCATTCACAGATAAGTTATACAGCCTGATCTGGTATATCAGCCAATACAACAGCTAGTCTTAGTTGGAAAGAAAAACTTTACAGCACATTTTGAGTAACTTAGTGCATGGGCTCAGTGGGCCACCTAGTGGGGCAGCAGCTTATAATGGGTTCCACAGCTAGGGCATTGCTGCTGGGTCTCGCCTTTGTGCAGCCAAAACCAGATGACAGCACAGTTGTCCTCTTCACAGATGCAGCCCACTATACTCTTGTTGGTGATGGAGGAAACTAAATTAGGGTCTTCCTTGGTGCCTGAAGCTGCCTTTGGGGGTCATATACTGTATAGGTCCAGTCCCTTCCCTGCAACCATCATGACCTCCATCTCCAATCCAGTCGTGTGCTCATCATCAATAGGAACACCACCTCCAGATGCCATGGAGCACACCACGGCCACCCCATTGGGACCACAGGCCCTCAGGGCCTTCGCAGCCAGTGCTCCAGCTCCACGAAGTAACCTTGAAGCCATCATGCCCGCAACTTGGGGAACGTCTGTGTAATGTTTTATTGTAGACTTCAACATATTTAAATAAAAATAGCCTAACTAACAAGGCTAACCTTGACTCCCACATACACACACATACTCAAAAGAGGCAGGAGCAGCAGAAGAAAACCTTATAAAAGAAATCCCTGATTTCCTTCTATAATTGAATTATAACAAACTGGAATTTTGACCTTAACTTTTATAAATAAGTGTTAATTAAAATAGTGTGTTCTCTAAAGTTACTCCAGAGTTCAAAACAGCAAGGGTTGAATGTGATTATGTTTTCCAAGCCTATTTATGAAAATGAGCGTTCTGACATCTAAGCCTGCAGTTGTGATTGAGTACAATGCATGCAGGATTTTAATGGAAACCAAAAGAGAATTTAAGTGGCCTCTCCCAGCAAATACGACGCATTTTCCCCACCCGTGATAGTACTCACATCGAGAAAGGGGTCCGCATTTATGATCCCTCTGCTATTTTTAGCTGAATTAGGAAATGATTCAGGTTGCTCTACCAACATCAGAGAATTCAATTTAAACCTCAAGATGAAACAGAAAAGGGAGCGCTCTTAAATATGGGCTTTGGTCTAAGCTCCCTTAATTGAACACTGCAGGGTAATGTAATGGGATCACTCTGTAAATGGGGTGATTAGCAACCCAATAACTCATGGAAGTAATAACCTGTTTGGAAGTGTCATCCCATGCTCAGAGACTGGCACAAAGGACACCTCTGAGCTGATATGACATTAATAAAGTCTCCCACATCACATCCATGTGTTGCTCGTTTTTTGGAATGACACAAGAAGAAGTGGCTAAAATGGAAAGTTCAGAAACAAGAGTGTTTGTCACTTCACAATTTGCAGGATGCTAACAATGCAGTCAAGACTGACTACACAGCATTGACAGAAGATACTCCTCTGATTTGGGAGTTGTTTTTCAATCAAATCTTCTTTAAAAGAAATCATGAAGACAGTTTAAATTCAAAAGGCCTATGACACCCCAAAATGCAATTCTTTTAGAATGTAGGACCACCACCTGCTCATCCACACTAGGGAAAGGGAAAGTATCTGACTTCCCAACAGAAATGTAAGGAGTCCTTCCTTTTAGAGGAATATCTGTACAAATGCATAGGACAAAACTCCTCTCTGGTCACTCTGGGCTGCTGTCAGGCCCTTCTAGATTCTCTTTTTCCAATTTTATTCTCTTCTCACATCTGGGGTAACTGGACAGCTGTGGGCCCAATCCTGTCTGTGGGGGATGAGTGGAGAGTTATAATCCAGGGGGCCATGGTGGGTCAGCATCAGTTGCTGCCAGACATCTGTTGTTATTGTTTGCCCTGCATCCATCCCCTTCTTTCTGGTAATAGCACTGTATCACTGCAGTAGTCAAGAACTCAGCAGGAAACACGTGGCTCTCTGGAGAGAGTTTAATCAAGCATAGTTGTACAGAGGTGCAGACAGGCTTAATGAAACCAATAAGAGATGGGGAGGCACCCCAGGCTAACAATAGTAGGAAGTGATTATCATCGCTAACCCCACACAGGCAATCTCTGAGAGAGCTTTAGCCACAGGAGAAAGTACTGCAGGGGCACAGTGGCTGCCAGCATGCAGCCCAGCAGGCGTGAAGCTGTAGGATTCTCTCCTGTCACCCTCCTATCACTTGCTGCCAGTGCCCATTGGCCAAACCAAAGTGGAAGGCAGAGGACAAGGGAGTTACGGTCTGTAGTTCATCTATTAATGGACACTTGTGTTGCTTCCAAAACCTACTGTTCTTAACCACCACAGTTAACTCATCTCCCAGATGCCTTTCTGCCTGCTGTCTACATTTACACCCTCTTCCAGGACTGCCTCATGACTCTTTCTTCCCACTGCTAGCTAGTGCCTCCATCTGGCCCACCCTTAGCACCTGTCCAGTCTTGGGGTGGGGACAGGAGGGATTTAGTTCTAGGCTTCAGTTTCTCCCTGTCTTCCCTGGTTGCCTTCACTCCTGCATGCCAGCCCTATCATGAACCACGTTAGCAACAAAGAGCAGGGTTTCTAAGGAGTGGTACTCCAAGCATACAAATTACTTAGGAGATGAATCCTTCTATCTCTTTTGAACATCCCTCTCAGGCATGTCACCGAAGCTGGGAAGCTCCTAGTTCTATTAATAACTTTACAGTACAGAGGGGAAGAAGGAGCTGTGCTCAAAATAAAACAATGAACTCAGTGCATGAACAAGTCCAAGACAAATGACTGTAATGTATTCTGGATTCATATGTCTCTAAGGCTAATTAATGTAGGAAAGTCTAATACTGAGCGTTCTCTGAAAACACAATGCCACAAAGAAAGTGTTAATAAAGGCCAGATATTTTCACATGATAAACTCCAAATCAAGGGTTATGTCTTAGAGGTCTCTACCACTCTCTGAAGATAAGCAATAGGCATTTATTTATTCATTCCACAAATGTTTTCAAGTTTTTACTCTAAAATAGGTAACAGATAAATGCAGGGGATACAATGGTGAGCCAGGCAGATACAGCTCTGTCCTCAGAAAGCCAACTAAGCCAGCTATGACTATAGTGTGATGGGCCTATTGATGTCTGTAACGAAGCAGTTGTGAAACTAAGAAAAATCCAGATGGAGGAGCTTCTTTTCCAGCTTACAAGTACTTTTTAGCTAGAGAAAAAGACATGAGTCCTGAGAGGCAGACATTTTATTTGCCACCAAAGAAATAGAAAGATGATTAAAATTGCTTAAAAAGCATTTAGAATACAATCCCACCACATTCCACTCCCCATCTTACATCCTTAAAAGAACTTCATTTTTTTTTATCTCTCTCTCTTTTGGTTGAGATCTTGTCCTCCTTTGCACCTCCTTCCAATAATACATGAAGAATGACACAGCCCTGAAGTGTCAGAAATGGTGACACAGAAGTCCCATGAGGGCATTTCCTCTTCTCTCCTCTTTCTAGAGTTCAAAGGAAACCAAAACACACACATGCACACAGAGAACTCTCAAAGCCAATCAGTCTGAAGGTCTACACGTTCATTTACACTCCATGCATCCCCACATTCTTACAAGTAACCGTGGAACCTGATATATGCCAGTTGCTGTTGGGGACCCAGTGCTGGACAGGGTCAGTATGAGTACTGTAGATCTTCATGTGCAATGAAGCCATCACTAAGCCCTTTCTGAGCCCCACGTATGTAAAGTATACCCCCTCCAGAGTCTGAAAAATCTTCGGTTTGTTTTTTCACACTGGACTGTGGTTTGATTTTTATACTTAATTACTTAATCTATTTGGTATTTATTTTACTAGATTCCCCCATCCCCCCACCCCCAAAATGCTAACTGGACATCCTAACAATATGTATAGAAAAACTCTGACCTTTGCCTCTGTTTTGTGTTATCTCTGGAATAATATAATTATTTTTTATGTGAAGGGACCATGATTTAAAAAAAAAAAAAAAAACTTCTCAATGCCTTTTCTTTCACTGTAATCCAGCTTCTTGCCCTGCGGTGTTTGGGAAGGGAGGGAAAGCATATTAAAGCTTTTTTCCACCATTACCTCAAGTGAAGACTCATATCAAAATGAGATTGTTTACAGGCATTTTTTACATTTGCACTATAGTATAATACAAAACATGCACACATACATAAAACAACAAAGGAAAAATATATTTTTTAATTTGTGAATGAGTACTAAAATATTTTAATAATTGTAGCTTTTTAAAGGCTAAATAAAGTAGCCTCTCACAATATACTTTTTCAGAATTTCCTTTGTAAATTCTATTTATTTTTTCGGATAAATTATTCCCCATCCCAATCAGATTTTAACTGCTATGGTATTAAGCCTATAAATCAATGCAATTTGGGGAAATCTCTACATGATCTAATCTTTCCATCTGGGAGATATTTACTTTTAATGAACTCGGACAATTATGCTTCCCAAAGTTGCCCTTCAATTCCAGAATCCCTGACCACCGCCATCCTGACCTGTCTCCATGAATAGCATCCTCACAAACACACTGCACAATGACAGAGCCTCAGCATAAAAATGTGCCCCTCAAGTCCTCTTGATCACTGACCAACATGTATTAAGACTCTACATAAAGTTTGCCACTGAAAATACAGTTCTGCCCTCAAGAGCCTTATAATTTAGTTGAATAGGTATGTAATATGCCCAGAATGAAAAATAACCATAAAAGGTAGCATTTATTAAATATCAATGTGCCATACCTATAGGAAGTAGTAAAGTGATGAGGACTGGGACCATTGATTAGAAAAAGATGCAAGTGTGAGTAGGACTTGAAGAAGCCTCAAACAGTAGAGTCCTGTTTAGGAAGGAAAAGATAAAGAGTCCAACACAATGTCGGACACAAAGGTAGTCAATAACTGCTAAATAAACAAGGAGGGGCTTGCCAGGCAGAGACAATGCCATGGACAAAGGCACAGTGGGAAGAATAAATGCATACGGTGTCCCTAGGGAATAACAAGTTGACCAATTTCTCCAAAGGTTATGGAAAACTGGCAGAAGAGGTGGACGAACTAGGCTAGTTTCAAACTGGTGAGGGCTCATAGGATATACTGTCATCTAAATATTCTATTAGAGACTCACAATTCTCTGGATTTGTTGTTAGTGTTCAATTCAATTCCATAAGCACTTACTGAACCCTACACACACCAGGCATTGTACACTCAGGATGTCAAAATGGGTAAAACATTCTCTCTGCACTCAAGGATCTTCTAGCTGAACAGTCAAACATATAAGCAAATAGTTAAACATATAAGCAAACAGTCATCAGTCAGTGTGGCAGGTATTACAACAGAAATGCAACCGCATAGAATATGGGAGCACAAAGGGAGAAGGTGCAGGAAGGCTCCTGGGAGGTGGCAGTACAAGGCTGAATTTTGGAGGATGAACAGGAGTTGTTAAGCACCAGGGAGGTGGACGGGTCTCCCAGGAAGACATAATGAAAAGCCATGAGAGAAGATGAGTCCCAGGACTGCACATGGTTAAGTAGCCCATGAGGGTCAGTGGTTGGGTACATATGACCAGAGAAATAGGTAGGGGTCTGGCTACTATTCAGAGGAGCCACTGAAGACTTTAACTTGGAAGGAATGACACAATCAGATTTGTTTTTGGAAAGAAAACTCTAGCAGGATTAAAGAGGTCTGAAGGAGGAGTTAGAAGAATCTGTAGTGTTTTAGTCATATTGCTTTTTTTATTGCCAGCAATAGTAGCAATGTGGGGTTTCACCCTACTCCCAGCACTGACACTAACAGTAATGCACCTTGGAAAAGTCATTTCTCCTCTGTGGCTCTAAGTTTCCTCACTGCAAAATGAAGACACTGTGCTAGATGACCTCTAAGCTCCAGATGACAATAATTCTTCAGGCCTTCTTATTTATCCTCAAGGAAAAACTGAGTATGTAGAAAGGCAGGTGGAGTTTCAATCTTTACTTGGATTTCCATTGAAGGTAAACAATTTAAATGAACATGCTATCAAATTTATCAAAGATTTTATTCTTTTAACTTTTATCTAAGTTGTAGAGAGGCTTAAAAGTCCCAGAAAATTGTGCTTTATGTACCGCATATGCTTGCATAGACTTTAAATTAAACTGCATTTATGAAAACGCTGTGAGCTTTTCGGATTAAATACTATATTTCAGTCCTAAGAATTATGCCAAGTGCACAGAGCGCACCCAGAGGAACATTCACACTCTCTGATTGCTTATGCAACCTCCCAGTCCTAGCTCAGCCCAGTTTTATTAAAATTTCTATTAGTGCAGCTCAGTTATGATTAAATATTCTTCATACTTTTTCAAGAAGAAAAGAATGCAGCTAACTCTTGATAGCTTGTGTCAACTGGGGACATGGATCACAGGGATAAATTAAATCCATAAATAATCCAGAACCTTAATTTAAGCCAAGAGCTTCAATCTCCTTCCTCAACCAACCTTTTCTAAGAGCTGTTAACAAAGTATTCAAATCACTTTAAATAAGACTCCTTTGTACAGGGTCAGCTCTAGGTGAAATTGGGAGATGGCTACTTGCTACCCTCCATCCCCAGGACCCCCACTGCCTACTTGCTCTGTATCCCATTCATAATGATCTTCTAAGTGTCAACTTGCAGTTTTCTTCTTATTTTACCATTTTGCAGCTTGTGACACCGTTAACCACTCCTAGTTTCCTGAATGTCTACCCTTGGCCTCCACGGCTACTCTCCCCTGGGTCTCTTCCTACCTTGTCAATCATGCTATTTTGGTCCATCTCTTACGTCAGTTCTCCCCTCCCCACCCTGCTACCGTTTGTGTTTTCTCTGCATGGTCTTCCTGGGAGATATCATTCACACCCATGGTGATATCATATAAATATAGCCTGTATGACCTCTTTTTAAACATATATTAAATGCTCAGCAAATATCTGTGAAGTTGAATTGAACAACAACAAAAAACTGGTTATGTGCTTCTAATATGAAATTTAAGTAAGACTGTACAGGGAATGTGTCTCTGCCTAGTTCATCTCTCCCATGTCTCTCTCTCACACACCTTTCCTCCATTACTGCATGAATTCCTGTCCACCTTCTGCTGCCCCATGATCAATAAGCAGCCTCCACTCTAACTTTGCAGACCACATCTCAGCAGAAGCCCAGCTCCCACCTACTTCATGCGCCAGACACAGCAGTTGTCTGATAGGCTGTGGCTTATAGGTCCAATGTAAGCTTTACTAACTTCTTCATCCCCTTCTCAATCCCAATTCACCTTCCAAAACCCACTTCCAGTGTCAAGACTCCTGTGAAGTATTATCCAGCTCTCTCTTTCTAGTCAAGCAGAATTGTTCAACCTCCACTAGACTCTGAAAATGCACTTTAGCTAAACCAATCTGTAATAGCATTGAGCAAATTGAAAAATAGTTGATGGTGAACTGGTCCATCTCCTGAACTAGACTGCAAACTCCCTAAAAGTGGGGACCATATTTTATTCCATTTTGTATCTTGTGACTAGCACAGAGCCCAACACATGGGGATCATAACACTACATTTATGTAAAGGGTTTTGACTAGACAAAAAGAGTGGGTACTTATGGATCATGAAGGCAGGCTTTAAGTTGGGGCCTTTATCTTTCTTTTTTGCCTTTATTTCTTTTTTCTTTCACTTAATAACAAACACTGTTCAAAAAGCGTGGAAACTAATCCCATTTCTCATTCCACAACCAAATATATATTATACCAGTCTAAACAGGGATACTTGCAATTTAAAAAATAAGGTCATGGATAGCCTCTGTATTATTTATAAATGACTAAAATATAAGAAACACAAAGTTCCAAATATAACACTGAACTCACCTATAGAGAAACATGCAGAAATTTCATAAAACATATGTTATATAAAGGTAAGATACCATTATTTTTCTACTTGATAGGTTGTCAATGCTGAACACTGATTTGAAATTACAAAAACAAATGCTAGATGACTATCTTTGGTGCAGGCTCCTTACCCAAGGAGGGGATCCTTATGGTATGAACTGTCACCGAAAGCTGACTTCCCATTACTGGGACAACAATAGCTTGTGGAATCAACTACGTAAAAACAAGACAAAGAGAAGTGATCAGTGACAACATGACACAATACCAGTATAAGTATGCTTGATAAGTTATGTCTGTGGGAATTTTTGTAAAACAAATCTGGTTTTCCAATTGACTCACATTTTGCCTTAAGAGAAGTTTATCTTTGTTTCTGATTGCTCTCCAATTGGCAGCCAATTAAAGTGGCTTCTAACTCTTTACATGTATATTCCTTTTCTCTTTAGTCACTTCAAAATAATTTGTGATGTGTAAATGTGTACTTTAATAACTGTATTTAAAAATTCTACAGTGAATCTTTTCCTTAAAACGCAAGATCCTTTGAAATATAAATATTGATTAGAGAATGCATCTATTTAACAGACCTGGAGCAGTTATTATGTACTGCTAAGGTTTCCACTACAGATGCAAGAAAAAAAGTGTCCTCAAGCTTTCTGATTGTGACAGCCAAAACTGAATGGAGGAATACGGAGAAGAAACAGAATTTTGCAACTCAAAAATAACCTTGTAAACAGTGAAGAGCCTGCTTTCCTCCAAAGAAGAATCTAAAATTTGAGTTTAAAACATTAGTTGGAGAATTTGAGTAGCAAAAAATAGACCCTATGTTTTCTCAAAATGTTAGAAGACATAAAGGCTATGGCCAGTATTTCCACGCTCTCACTATGTTAGTCCCTCCTTCCAACTCTCAGTATAATGGAAAGAAATACACAGAAAGCCTAGACTTTGAAAGTATCTAGTAAAAGCCACTCTGTTCTTTACAAGAGGTTCTTTTCCTAAGTCAGAGTAGACCTATTACTTCACAAGAAAGTCTTAGAGACCCAGAAGTAAAATGAATTCCTCTTACTGTGAAGTATATCCCTTCCACACTACCTACTCTGTTATAGAACTTCAAATTGGATTTCTCCAATCATAAGTCTCAGTGTCAAGAGACCTCCACTCCTACTCAAAAGGCAATTTCTGAGAGTCTGATGTATGACTACCACTCCCTCCAAATTCTGTTTGTTAGTCTGTTCCAAAGGCCTAAAAGATGATTCTACTTTTCCTGGATTAAAAATACTTTGACTTGGTTGTAGGGTCATAACTCTCCCTTATCCCCATCTAAGACCTAGGCTCTTAGAGGAATTGTAGCCACTAACCAGAAATTTCCCCAATTGTATATTTAAATGCTCCCTTTTCCCAGATATCCCACTTGGTACTTCTATGACATCACTGTAGACAGGTTATAAGTTTAATGATTCTACTGACTCTGTGAAGTGTTGATGTTCACTTCACTTTTAGGTATCATAGGGGCTGCTTCCACATACAAACACTTAAATGCTTAAACTGGAATTTCACTAACACATGTTGCTGAGTCAGAGACTTGTCTTTAAATACAAGCTCTACCACATTTCTGTTTATATGTCCTTAACTATGCTACATAGGCTTTTGTTTTGTTTTTTGTTTTTGTTTTTGTTTTGAGATGGAGTCTCGCTCTGTCACCCAGGCTGGAGTGCAGTGGCGCAATCTCAGTTCACTGCAACCTCCACCTCCCGGGTTCAAGCAATTCTCTGCCTCAGCCTCCTGAGTAGCTGGGATTACAGGTGCCCACCACCACGCCCAGCTAATTTTTGTATTTTTAGTAGAAACGGGGTTTCACCATCTTGGCCAGGCTGGTCTTGAACTCCTGACCTCATGATCCACCCAACTTGGCCTCCCAAAGTGCTGGGATTGCAGGCATGAACCACCACTCCTGGCTGCTACATAAGCTTTCTAAGCCTTGGTTTCTTTGGCTATGAAATGGGAGTACTAATAATAGCTACTTTAGAGGGTTTCCATAAGGTTAAATGAGAAAATGTCATAAACCACTTAGGACAATTTCTGGCATAATAAAAACAGACAAGAAAGTATAGTGTTACAGTGGTGATAGTAGTGGTGGTGGTGGCAGCAGTGGTTAGCTAAGGTGTAATTTTTCATGTGCCCTCGTGTTGTTTCTTCAACCAGTTCTTGAAGACACAAGGTTCCACAACCATAACTCATCCTAGGTTACCTTCATTTAAGAATACATCAAAATACAGCAAGATGCTCTGATGTGGCTCAGTAGCTTGCTTTATGTGTGCTATGTCCAAAACGACAGAAATGCTGTCCCAAGACATTAGTTTATTTTGTATAATTTAATGTTGCATTGTGAAAACATCTTATACCTTTCTTTGTTCTGTATTTGATTTATCTGTTCCCTCCGCAACTGTCAATTAAATTTTCTAAATTACTATCAATAGGCATATGAAAATCCACACAGCTTTACAGGGCACAGACCCATACAAGCATTTTGCAAGACTCTGGAGTACTTGGGCTGCCACTCCTGCCATGGCCAAACAAAAAGATTTGGGAGAGGTACATGCATCAGGGGCACAGAAACAAGAGAAGTAACCATGAAGGACCTTGCATTAGGTACAAGCTTCACTAGATACACAACTTATCTCCAGTAAGATAAAAAAGAACAAGGTTTTAGATAATTATTTTTGCAGCATATGCAACCGCCTGACACATTTCAAAAAAGCCCTAAATTAACTGGAAGCATAAATGAATTCTCAAGAGAAAAATTATTTCATTTCTAAGAAAGTATTCACTAATTGGACAGGTAGCTGTGGTTTATTAATATGGTGAGTATTTGGAAGCCGTCTCCTTTTCACACAATTTTGACACATTACTTTGGGGGTTTTTGTTTGTTTGCTTGTTTTTGTGGTTTTTTTGGTTTTGGTTTTGGTTTTTTTGTTTGTTTGTTTTTGCTTCATACTTACCTATGACCTCAATACAAGTTTCATTGTGTGATGCTAAACTCTTCCAATGGCACCAAAATGTTACAATGCTACTCGACAATCATATAGATATATTTTCACCAAAAGTAGAGCATTGTGTAACCACTAATGAATTTACTGTATTTATGGAAGAAAAGCCTACTGATTACTACCCACAGTTGAACAGAAACTTCCTACTTTGGTAAACTAATACTTACTTTCAGAATTGTTTCTGACTCATTGTTACTACAGTGGAAAAAGTGAGATTGAGGTGGTCAAACAGTTTCCCCACCATTTTGGGTTCCCTGGCAGGAGACCTGCCCTGCCTCAACCAATGGAAAACATCATGAGTGCCTGAAAGGAGAAAAACTTCTGAGGACAGCCAGAGACCAAGACAGGGAGGTGGGACTAGCATCGCCAGCCCAGAAAATGCTGCTCTGTGTCTGGACCAAATGACACATCACATCAGAGTGGCTGTTCAGCAGCACACTGTAGGGCATTCATTCAACGGATTCTCTGGGTATGAACACCTACCTATCCTTCCCACACTGTAGGGATATCACTTTTGGGACCTCCCCTATCCAGGACAGACAGGGGTCCAAAGTTTGCCAGAGCCAAAGCAAACCTGGGCATAAGGCACCATCAAGTACTTAAAAGGCGGCAGTGACCTGGCAGAAATGATATTAAACAGATATGTTGCAAAGAAATCTCTAAGCAAACATAATGAATAAAAACAAAAACAAGCCATGTAGAGAAGACTGAAATAATTAATCCTTCAATGTAAAGACAAAGATGTACATTCACAAGGAACAATAGCAAATAGGGAAACATGACCTCACCAAAAAGAAAAAGCAAGGAATCAGTGACCAACCCTAATGAGACAATGATAGGTGAGCTCTCTGATAAATAACTTCAAAATAGCAGTTTTAAGAAAACTCAGTGTTCTCCAAAACAGCAAAAAAGGCAACTCAGAAATTTTTTTTTTTAGTTTCTATTTTTTTATTTATTTTATTATTATTATACTTTAAGTTTTAGGGTACATGTGCACAATGTGCAGGTTAGTTACATATGTATACATGTGCCATGCTGGTGTGTTGCACCCATTAACTCGTCATTTAGCATTAGGTATATCTCCTAAAGCTATCCCTCCCCCCTCCCCCCACCCCACAACAGTCCCCAGAGTGTGATGTTCCCCTTCCTGTGTCCATGTGGTCTCCTTGTTCAATTCCCGCCTATGAGTGAGAATATGTGGTGTTTGGTTTTTTGTTCTTGCGATAGTTTACTGAGAATGATGATTTCCAGTTTCATCCATGTCCCTACAAAGGACATGAACTCATCATTTTTTATGGCTGCATAGTATTCCATGGTGTATATGTGCCACATTTTCTTAATCCAGTCTATCATTGTTGGACATTTGGGTTGGTTCCAAGTCTTTGCTATTGTGAATAATGCCACAATAAACATACGTGTGCATGTGTCTTTATAGCAGCATGATTTATAGTCCTTTGGGTATATACCCCATAATGGGATCGCTGGGTCAAATGGTATTTCTAGTTCTAGATCCCTGAGGAATCGCCACACTGACTTCCACAATGGTTGAACTAGTTTACAGTCCCACCAACAGTGTAAAAGTGTTCCTATTTCTCCACATCCTCTCCAGCACCTGTTGTTTCCTGACTTTTTAATGATTGCCATTCTAACTGGTGTGAGATGGTATCTCATTGTGGTTTTGATTTGCATTTCTCTGATGGCCAGTGATGGTGAGCATTTTTTCATGTGTTTTTTGGCTGCATAAATGTCTTCTCTTGAGAAGTGTCTGTTCATGTCCTTCGCCCACTTTTTGATGGGGTTGTTTGTTTTTTTCTTGTAAATTTGTTTGAGTTCATTGTAGATTCTGGATATTAGCCCTTTGTCAGACGAGTAGGTTGCGAAAATTTTCTCCCATTTTGTAGGTTGCCTGTTCACTCTGATGGTAGTTTCTTTTGCTGTGCAGAAGCTCTTGAGTTTAATTAGATCCCATTTGTCAATTTTGGCTTTTGTTGCCATTGCTTTTGGTGTTTTAGACATGAAGTCCTTGCTCATGCCTATGTCCTGAATGCTAATGCCTAGGTTTTTTTGGTTTTAGGTTTTTTTGGTTTTTTGGTTCTAGGGTTTTTAAGGTTTTAGCTCTAACATTTAAGTCTTTAATCCATCTTGAATTAATTTTTGTATAAGGTGTAAGGAAGGGATCCAGCTTCAGCTTTCTACATATGGCTAGCCAGTTTTCCCAGCACCATTTATTAAATAGAGAATCCTTTCTGCATTGCTTGTTTTTCTCAGGTTTGTCAAAGATCAGATAGTTGTAGATATGTGGCACTATTTCTGAGGACTCTGTTCTGTTCCATTGATTTATATCTCTGTTTTGGTACCAGTACCATGCTGTTTTGGTTAACGTAGCCTTGTAGCATAGTTTGAAGTCAGGTAGCATGATGCATCCAGCTTTGTTCTTTTGGCTTAGGATTGACTTGGCGATGTGGGCTGTTTTTTGGTTCCATATGAACTTTAAAGTAGTTTTTTCCAATTCTGTGAAGAAAGTCATTGGTAGCTTGATGGGGATGGCATTGAATCTATAAATTACCTTGGGCAGTATGGCCATTTTCACGATATTAATTCTTCCTACCCATGAGCATGGAATGTTCTTCCATTTCTTTGTATCCTCTTTTATTTCATTGTGCAGCGGTTTGTAGTTCTCCTTGAAGAGGTCCTTCACATCCCTTCTAAGTTGAATTCCTAGGTATTTTATTCTCTTTGAAGCAATTGTGAATGGGAGTTCACTCATGATTTGGCTCTCTGTGTGTCTGTTATTGGTGTATAAGAATGCTTGTGATTTTTGTACATTGATTTTGTATCCTGAGACTTTGCTGAAGTTGCTTATCAGCTTAAGGAGATTTTGGGCTGAGACAATGGGGTTTTCTAGATATACAATCATGTCATCTGCAAACAGGGACAATTTGACTTCCTCTTTTCGTAATTGAATACCCTTTATTTCCTTCTCCTGCCTGATTGCCCTGGCCAGAACTTCCAACACTATGTTGAATAGGAGTGGTGAGAGAGGGCATCCCTGTCTTGTGCCAGTTTTCAAATGGAATACTTCCAGTTTTTGCCCATTCAGTATGATATTGGCTGTGGGTTTGTCATAGATAGCTCTTATTATTTTGAGATACGTCCCATCAATACCTAATTAATTGAGAGATTTTAGCATGAAGCATTGTTGAATTTTGTCAAAGGCCTTTTCTGCATCTATTGAGATAATCATGTGGTTTTTGTCTTTGGTTCTGTTTATATGCTGGATTACATTTATTGATTTGCATATATTGAACCAGCCTTGCATCCCAGGGATGAAGCCCACTTGATCATGGTGGATAAGCTTTTTGATGTGCTGCTGGATTCGGTTTGCCAGTATTTTATTGAGGATTTTTGCATCAATGTTCATCAAGGATATTGGTCTAAAATTCTCTTTTTTGGTTGTGTCTCTGCCCGGCTTTGGTATCAGGATGATGCTGGCCTCATAAAATGAGTTAGGGAGGATTCCCTCTTTTTCTATTGATTTGAATAGTTTCAGAAGGAATGGTACCAGTTCCTCCTTGTACTTCTGGTAGAATTCGGCTGTGAATCCATCTAGTCCTGGACTCTTTTTGGTTGGTAAGCTACTGATTATTGCCACAATTTCAGAGCCTGTTATTGGTCTATTCAGAGAGTCAACTTCTTCCTGGTTTAGTCTTGGGAGGGTGTATGTGTTGAGGAATTTATCCATTTCTTCTAGATTTTCTAGTTTATTTGCATAGAGGTGTTTGTAGTACTCTCTGATGGTAGTTTGTATTTCTGTGGGATCGGTGGTGATATCCCCTTTATCATTTTTTATTGCGTCTATTTGATTCTTCTCTCTTTTCTTCATTAGTCTGGCTAGCGGTCTATCAATTTTGTTGATCCTTTCAAAAAACCAGCTCCTGGATTCGTTAATTTTTTGAAGGGTTTTTTGTGTCTCTATTTCCTTGAGTTCTGCTCTGATTTTAGTTATTTCTTGCCTTCTGCTAGCTTTTGAATGTGTTTGCTCTTGCTTTTCTAGTTCTTTTAATTGTGATGTTAGGGCGTCAATTTTGGATCTTTCCTGCTTTCTCTTGTGGGCATTTAGTGCTATAAATTTCCCTCTACACACTGCTTTGAATGTGTCCCAGAGATTCTGGTATGTTGTGTCTTTGTTCTTGTTGGTTTCAAAGAACATCTTTATCTCTGCCTTCATTTCATTATGTACCCAGTAGTCATTCAGGAGCAGGTTCCTCAGTTTCCATGTAGTTGAGCGGTTTTGAGTGAGTTTCTTAATCCTGAGTTCTAGTTTGATTGCACTGTGGGCTGAGAGACTGTTATAATTCCTGACCTTTTACATTTGCTGAGGAGAGCATTACTTCCAACTATATGGTCAATTTTGGAATAGGTGTGGTGTGGTGCTGAAAAAAATGTATATTCTGTTGATTTGGGGTGGAGAGTTCTGTAGATGTCTGTTAGGTCCACTTGGTGCAGAGCTGAGTTCAATTCCTGGGTATCCTTGTTAACTTTCTGTCTCATTGATCTCTCTAATGTTGACAGTGGGGTGTTAAAGTCTCCCATTATTATTGTGTGGGAGTCTAAGTCTCTTTGTAGGTCCCTAAGGACTTGCTTTATGAATCTGGGTGCTCCTCTATTGGGTGCATATATATTTAGGATAGTTAGCTCTTTTTGTTGAATTGATCCCTTTACCATTATGTAATGGCCTTCTTTGTCTCTTTTGATCTTTGTTGGCTTAAAGTCTGTTTTATCAGAGACTAGGATTGCAACCCCTGCCTTTTTTTGTTTTCCATTTGCTTGGTGGATCTTCCTCCATCCTTTTATTTTGGGCCTATGTGTGTCTCTGCACATGAGATGGGTTTCCTGAATACAGCACACTGATGGGTCTTGACTCTTTATCCAATTTGCCAGTCCGTTTCTTTTAATTGGAGCATTTAGTCCATTTACATTTAAAGTTAATATTGTTATGTGTGAATTTGATCCTGTCATTATGATGTTAGCTGGTGATTTTGCTCGTTAGTTGATGCAGTTTCTTCCTACCATCAATGGTCTTTACAATTTGGCATGATTTTGCAGTGGCTGGTACTGGTTGTTCCTTTCCATGTTTAGTGCTTCCTTCAGGAGCTCTTTTAGGGCAGGCCTGGTGGTGACAAAATCTCTCAGCATTTGCTTGTGTGTAAAGTATTGTATTTCTCCTTCACTTATGTAGCTTAGTTTGGCTGGATATGAAATTCTGGGTTGAAAATTCTTTTCTTTAAGAATGTTGAATATTGGCCCCCACTCTCTTCTAGCTTGTAGAGTTTCTGCCGAGAGATCCGCTGTTAGTCTGATGGGCTTCCCTTTGTGGGTAACCCGACCTTTCTCTCTGGCTGCCCTTAACATTTTTTCCTTCATTTCAACCTTGGTGAATCTGACAATTATGTGTCTTGGAGTTGCTCTTCTCGAGGAATATCTTTGTGGCGTTCTCTGTATTTCCTGAATCTGAATGTTGGCCTGCCTTGCTAGATTGGGGAAGTTCTCCTGGATAATATCCTGCAGAGTGTCTTCCAACTTGGTTCCATTCTCCCCGTCACTTTCAGGTACACCAATCAGACGTAGATTTGGTCTTGTCACATAGTCCCATATTTCTTGGAGGCTTTGTTTGTTTCTTTTTATATTTTTTTTTCTCTAAACTTCCCTTCTCGCTTCATTTCATTCATTTCATCTTCCATCACTGATACCCTTTCTTCCAGTTGATCGCATCGGCTCCTGAGGCTTCTGCATTCTTCACGTTGTTCTCGAGCCTTGGCTTTCAGCTCCATCAGCTCCTTTAAGCACTTCTCTGTATTGGTTATTCTAGTTATACATTCGTCTAAATTTTTTTCAAAGTTTTCCACTTATTTACCTTTGGTTTGAATTTCCTCCTGTAGCTCGGAGTAGTTTGATCGTCTGAAGCCTTCTTCTCTCAACTCGTCAAAGTCATTCTCCGTCCAGCTTTGTTCCGTTGCTGGTGAGGTGCTGCGTTCCTTTAGAGGAGGAGAGGTGCTCTGCTTTTCAGAGTTTCCGGTTTTTCTGCTCTGTTTTTTCCCCATCTTTGTGGTTTTATCTACTTTTGGTCTTTGATGATGGTGATGTACAGATGGGTTTTTGGTGTGGATGTCCTTTCTGTTTGTTAGTTTTCCTTCTACCAGATAGGACCCTCAGCTGCAGTACTGTTGGAGTTTGCTAGAGGTCCACTCCAGACCCTGTTTGCCTGGGTACCAGCAGTGGTGGCTGCAGAACAGCGGATTTTCGTGAACCGCGAATGCTGCTGTCGGATTGTTCCTCTGGAAGTTTTGTCTCAGAGGAGTACCCGGCCGTGTGAGGTGTCAGTCTGCCCCTACTGGGGGTGCCTCCCAGTTAGGCTGCTCTGGGGTCAGGGCTCAGGGATCCACTTGAGGAGGCAGTCTGCCCGTTCTCAGATCTCCAGCTGCGTGCTGGGAGTACCACTGCTCTCTTCAAAGCTGTCAGACAGGGATATTTAAGTCTGAAGAGGTTACTGCTGTCTTTTTGTTTGTCTGTGCCCTGCCCCCAGAGGTGGAGCCTACAGAGGCAGGCAGTCCTCCTTGAGCTGTGGTGGGCTCCACCCAGTTGGAGCTTCCCAGCTGCTTTCTTTACCTAAGCAAGCCTGGGCAATGGCAGGCACCCCTCCCCCAGCCTCACTGCAGCCTTGCAGTTTGATCTCAGACTGCTGTGCTAGCAATCAGCAAGACTCCGTGGGCATACGACCCTCCATGCCATGTGCGGGATATAATCTCCTGGTGCGCCATTTTTTAAGCCCGTTGGAAAAGTGCAGTATTGGGGTGGGAGTGACCTGATTTTCCAGGTGCCGTGTGTCACCCCTTTCTTTGACTAGGAAAGGGAACTCCCTGACCCCTTGCGCTTCCCGAGTGAGGCAATGCCTCGCCCTGCTTCGGCTCACAGATGGTGCGCTGCACCCACTGTCCCGCGCCCACTGTCTGGCACTCCCTAGTGAGATGAACCTGGTACCTCAGATGGAAATGCAGAAATCACCTGTCTTCTGTGTCACTCATGCTGGGAGCTGTAGACTGGAGCTGTTCCTATTTGGCCATCTTGGCTCCCTCCAACTCAGAAATTTATCAGATAACTTTAAAAAAAGAAATTAAAATAATTGTAAAAAATCAAACAGAAATCCTAGAACTAAAAAAAAATTTGCTGAACTGAAAATTTTATCAGAGGTTCTC
This sequence comes from Homo sapiens, assembly GCF_000001405.40. Classification (NCBI taxonomy): domain Eukaryota; kingdom Metazoa; phylum Chordata; class Mammalia; order Primates; family Hominidae; genus Homo; species Homo sapiens. Next base: position 81,938,045 of record NC_000004.12, read on the forward strand.
AAGAGCAGAATGAATCAAGCAGAGGAAAGAATCAATGAGCTTAAAGACAGGCTGTCTGAAAATATACATCGAAGGAAAAAAATTAAAAAGAACAAAAAGGAATAAAGAATATCTACAAGACATAGAAAATTACCTCAAAAGACCAAATCTAAGAATCACTGGTGTTCAAGAGGGAACTGAGCAAGAGCAAGGGATAGAAACTTATTCAAAGAAATGATAACAAAAAACTTTCCAAAACATGAGAAAGACATACATATTCAGGTATGGTTAGGTCAGAGATCATTAAATAGATGAAACCCAAATAAAACTATCACAAGGCATATAATAACCAAACTTTCAAGGTCAAGGGCAAAGACAAAAGCCACAAGAAAAAAGAAACAAATAATACATAAAGGAACTTCAATTTGTCTGACAACAGACTTCTCAACAGAAACCATACAGGCCATGATGACATATCCAAAATGCTGGAGTAGGGGATTGGTGGCCAGGTACTAAAATGTCCACCAAAAATTCTATACCCAACAAAAACTACCTGATACCAGACCCACCCCGCCCCCCCAAAAAAAAGAAAAAGCTCAGGGAATTCATCGCCACCAGACCCATCTTACAAGAAATACTAAAGAGAACTGCTCAATCTGAATGAAAAAACAACACTAATTTGCAAAAAGAAAACATCTAAAAGTATAAAACCCACTGGTAAAAATAAGTAAACAGACAAACTCAGAATACTCTATCACTGGAATTGTGGTATACAATCCACTCATAACTCTACCATGAAGACTGAAAGACAAAGCTATCAAAAATAAAAATAGCCATAGCAGCCTGTTAAGGATAGGCAATGTAAACATATATTAATGGAGACAACAAAAAAGCTTAAAAAATGTGGAAGGGATGGAGTTAAACTGTAGAGTCTTTTTAGTTTTTCCTGTTTGTTTGCTTGTTTCTATTCTTTATGATCAAAGATAAGTTGTCATCTCTTTAAAATAACTTGTTGTAAGATGTTTTTTTCTACATTTCAACCACAAAGCAAAAACCTGTAATAAATATACTAAAAAAAAGAAACACATTAAAACATACTACCAGAGAAAATCACTTAACCACAAAAGGAGACAGGAAAAAAGGAAGAGAGGAGTTACAAAATAACCAGAAGACAAGTGACGAAATGGCATTAGTAAGTCCTTACCTATCAATAGTAACATTGAATGAAATGAACTAGATTTTCCAATTAAAAGAATAGTGTGGCTGAATGGATGAAGAAACAAGACCCAACTATATGCTATCTACAAGAAATTCACCTCATCCATAAAGATACACATAGACTGAAAGTGAAGATATTGAAAAAGATATTCCATGCAAACATTAACCAAAACAGAGTAGAAGTAGCTATGCTTATATAAGATAGACTACAAGTCAAAGATTGTAAAAGAACCAGAGAGGGTCACTATAGAATGATAATGCAGTCAATCTGGCAATAGGATAAAACAATTTTAAATATCTATGCACCCAACACAGGAGCACCCATGTATATAAAGCAAACACTAATGTATCTAATGGGAGAGATAGATTGCAGTATAAAAATCGTAGGGGACTTCAACACCCCACTCTCAGTAATAGACAGATCACCCACTCAGAAAATCAGTAAAGAAGCATCAGAGTTAAACTACACACTACACTACAGATATGAGCCTAACTAACATTTACAGAACATTTCATCCAACTGCTGTAGAATATACATTTTTCTCATCAGCACATGGAACATTCTCCAGAATGGACCATATGTTAGGCCACCAAACAAGTCTCAAAAACTTCAAAAAAAAAAAGGTGAAATTACATTAAGTATCTTTTCTGATCACAATGGAATAAAACTGGAAATTCATAATAAGAGGCACATTAGAAACTACACAAACATCGGGAAATTAAACAACATATTCCTGAATGGTTAATGGGTCAATAAGGAAATTAAGAAGGGAATTTAAAAATATCTTGAAACAAATATAAATAGAAATACCACATAGTAAAATCTACAGGATACAGCAAAAGCACTAATGAGGAAAAAGTTTATAGCAATAAATGCCTACATCAGAAAGATTTCAACTTGCCAACCTAATTACGCACCTCAAAGAACTAGAAAAGCAAGAACAAACTAAACCCAAATTTAGTAGAAGGAAAGGAATAATAAAGATTCGAGCAAACATAAGTGAAATTGAGACTTAAAAAATATAAAAGATCAACAAAACAAAAAGTTGCCTTTTTGAAAAGATAAACAAAATGGAAAAACCCTTAGCTAGGCTAAGAGAAAAGTAAGAAAGCCCAAATAAATAAAATCAGAAGCAAAAATGGAGACATAACAACTGACACCACAGAAACACAAAGAATCGTTAGAGACTATTATAAACAACTATAGGCCAAAAAATTGGAAAACCTAGAAGAAATGGATAAATTCCTGGACAAACACAACTTACTAAGATTGAGTCTTGAAGAAATAAAAAACCCTGAACAAACCAATAATGAGTAATGAGAACAAAACCATAATAAAACCTTTCTCATCAAAGAAAAACACAGGACCTGATAGCTTCACTGCTGAATTCTATTAAACATTTAAAGAACAAATACCAATTCTACTCAGACTCTGAAAAAAAAAATTGCAGAGGTGAGAATACTTCCAAACTCATTCTATGAGTCCAGCATTACCCTGGTACCAAAGCCAAAAAAGGGACACAACAAAAAAAGAAAACTACAGGGCAATATTTCTAAATAACACAGATACAAAAATCCTCAACAAAATACTAGCAAACCAAATTCAACAACACATTAAAAAGATCACTCGCTATGATCCAGTAGGATTCATCCCTAGGATATAAGGATGGTTCAACATACATAAATCAATAAAAATGATACAAAACATTAACAGAACCAAGAATAGAAACCATATGATCATTTCAATAAATGCTGAAAAGGCATTTAATAAAATTTTATATCCCTTTATAGTAAAAATGCTCATACATTGGGTAAAGAATAAAACATACCTCAAAACAACAAAAGCCATATATGATGGACCTAGTGCTAACAAAATACTGAATGAGGAAAACTTGAAAGCCTTTTCTCTAAGATCTGGAACAAGAAAATGATGCCCTCTTTCACTTTTATTCACTGTTATGTTGAATAAAAGTGAAAGAGGGCATCATTTTCTAAAACTGGAAGTTTATGCCAGAATAATCAGACAAGAGAAAGAAATAAAAGTGATCCTAATTAGAAGGAAGAAGGCAAATCACTCTTGTTAGCAGATGATATGACCTTATATTTAGAAAACCATAAAGACTCCAGCAAAATATTCTTACAACTGACAAATGAATTCAGTAAAGTTTCAGGATATAAAATCAACATACAAAAACCAGCAACATTTATATATGCCAACAATGAGCAATTTGAAAAACGAATCAAGAAAGCAATTCCATTTAAAATAGGTACAAGGCATATAAAATATCTAGGAATAAACTTAACCAAATAAGTAAAATATCTTTATAAGAAAAACAATAAAGCTGTGATGAAAGAAACTGGAGAAGACACAAAAAATGGGAAAGCCATTCCATGTTCATGAATAGGAAGAATATTGTTAAAATGTAATACCCAAACTGATCTATAGATTCAATGCACTACCTATCAAAATAACAATGACATTCTTCACAGAAATAGAAAAGACAATCCGAAAATTTATATAGAATTACAAAAACCCCAAATAGCTAAAGCAATCCTGACCAAAAATAACAAAGCTGGACACATCACACTACCTGACTTCAAAATATACTACAGAGTTATAGTAACTAAAACAGCACGATACTAGCATAAAAATAGATATATAGACCAATGGAACAGAATAGAGAACCCAGAAATAAATCCATGCATTTATAGTGAACTGATTTTCAACAAAGACACCAAGAACATACATTGGGAAAAGCACAGTCTTTTCAAAAACTGATGCTGGGAAAACTGGATAACCATATGCAGAAGAATTAAACTAGACTCTATGTATCACCATTTACAAAAATCAAATAAACATGGATTAAAGACTTAATTAAAAGACCTCAAACTATGAAATTATTACAAGGAAACATTGGGAAAACACTCCAGGGCATTGGTCTGGGCAAAGATTTTTTTAGTAACACCTGAAAAGCATAAGGAACCAAAGGAAAAATGGACAAATGGCATTACATCAAACTAAAAAGCTCCTGCACAGCAAAGGAAACAATCAACAAAATGAACAGATAAGCCACAGAATGGGAGACAATATTTGCAAATTATCCATCTAACAAGTGATTAATAACCAGAATATACAAGAAGTTCAAACAACCCAACAACAAAACAAAGAGAGAGAGAGAAAGAAATCAATTTATAAATGGGGGAAAGATCTGAATAGACATTTCTCAAAAGAAGACATAAAAATGACGAAAAAGTAACAAAAAATGCTCAATATCACTAATCATCAAGGAAATACAAATCAAAACCTAAATGAGGCCGGGTACAGTGCCTTATGCCTATAATCCCAGCACTTTGGGAAGCCAAAGCAGGAGGACTGCTTGAGCCCAGGAGTTCGAGACCAGCCTAGGCAATACAGTGGAACTCCATCTTTACAAAAAAATTTAAAAATTAGCTGGGTGTGGTAGCTCATGCCTGTAGTTTTAGCCACTCCAGAGGCTCAGGCAAGAGTATCACTTGATCCCAGGAGGACAAGGTTGCAGTGAGTTGTGATCGTGCCACTGCACTCCAGCCTGGGTGACAGGATGAGACTCTGAACACACACACACACACACACACACACACACACACACACACACACACGTATCATCTCACCCCAGTTAAAATAGCTTTTATCGAAAAGGCAGGGAATAACGGATGCTGGTATGGATGGAGAGAAAGGACACTCATACATTGTTGGTGGCAATGTAAATTAGTACAGCCATTATGGAGAACATTATGGAGATTCCTTCAAAACTAAAAATACAATTACCCTATGATTTAGCAATCCCTCTAGTGAGTATTTATCCCTTAAAACAGGAAATTAATATATTGAAGTGATATCTGCACTCCAGTGTTTAGCACTACTCACAATAGCCAAAATATGGACTCAACCTAAGTGCCCATCAATAGATGAATGAAAAAATGTAAAATGTGGTATATACATACACATTTTGTATGTAAGTGCCCATCAATAGATGAATGAAAGTACCCATCAATAGATGAATGAAAAATTTTAAAATGGGGTATATATGAACAATGAATATTATTCATCCATAAAAAAAGAATGAAATCCTGTCACTTGCAGCAGCATGCTGCATGCAACTGGAGGTGATTATGTTAAGTGAAACAAGGCACAGAAAGACAATTTCACGTGTTTTAACTCAGATGCAGGAGTTAAGAAAGTGGACCTCTTGAAGACAGAGACTAGACTCATGGTTACCAGAGGCTAGGAGGGTAGGGGTGAGGTGGGTATGAAGAGAGGTTGATTAATGGGTACAGAAATACAGTTAGATAGAAGAAATAAGACTATTGTTCAATAAATAAATAGCAGCACTAAACAATAATCTATCGTATATTTCAAAATAGCTAGTAGAGAATAATTCAAATGTCGCCAACATAAAGAAAATGGTTTAAGACGATAGATATTCCAATACCCTGATTTGATTAATATGCATTACATAAATATGTTAAAACATCACATGTACCCCCAAAATATGTACATCTATTACGTATAAGTAAAATTAATTGATTGATTAATTAATTAAATTTTTAAGTAGGAAGATTCCTAGATGTCATGGTTCAAAGACTCCCAGTTGAGTCAGACCATGACACCAAGAGTATAGACCAAATTGGACAGACAGTGGTTCAGAATAGAGCTGCTTAAGATATAATATTGGCCTCTCAAGGGGGATGTGCTGTTTTACAGAAAGAATATTATAGGTACATCCATGCTGACCTGTCTTGGATCTTTAATAGCACGAAAAAGACTCAGAAGCAAATAAAAAAAATTTGGGTAATGTAGCTAATAACCCCATATGTAGTGCTGTGGGCTCTTCTCATTTGGTATGAGATCTCATCTCTTCGTTTAATATGGGCTGTCTCAGCTCCTAGATGAGGATGTCACTACAAACTCTGATCATAATCCTTCTCTTGGTATTTTTGCCACAGTGTTCAGATGAGTGATCTCCAGAGTCTAAAATGCTGCTGTGCAGTCTCTGTCCCATGATGTGATCTAACAAATTATCATCAAACAGAAAGAGCAAGAAAACTTGAACTTACAGAGGTAGAAACAACCACACCCAGATACTTATATGCAATTGTGACACCTCAGACACTGGTGAATATCTGGATTGATCCATCACACCCCTGGATGTAAATGATCTATCATTCAACTCAGGCTAAAGAATGGCCACATGGGGGGCACTGGGAACCTAAACCATCTACCTCCATACATAGCTTAGACAACAAGGATCTACCTTGGAACTACCTACTCTCTCTCTCTCTCCCTCCTTCTCTCTCTCTCTCTCTCTCTCTCACACACACACACACACACACACACACACACACAGAGCTAACTGTCTGCATCAACATGACTGTAATCTATTGTCTTCATTAGTATTACTTTGCCACTCCAGGAGACTCTTGCTAAGGCACGTAACTTGATTGTTCATTACAAGAATTTCCCAAAAGACCATTAAGTCTTCAATAAGAAGTAACAACACAGTGTTCTACCAACAAGACTCATGCACTCACATGTTCATCACAGCACTATTCACAATAGCAAAGACATGGAACCAATCTAGGTGCCCATCAAAAGTGGGTTGGTTAAAGAAAATGTGGTACATATACACCACGGAATACTATGCAGCCACACAAAAGAAAGGAATCATGTCCTTTGCAGCAACATAGATGCAGTTGGAAGCCAGTGTCCTAAGTGAATTAATGCAGGAAGAGAGAACTAAATACCACATGTTTTCACTTATAAGTGGGAGCCAAACATTGAGTATTCGTGGACATAAAGATGGGAACAATAGAAACTGGGGGCTACTGTGGGGAGGTGGGGATGGGGGCAAGCATCAAAAAACTATCGAGTACTATGCTCACTACGAAACCGTTCCTAACCCAAATCTCAGCATCATGCAATATACCCAAGAATAAACCTGCGTATGTATCCCCTGAGTCTAAAATAAAAGTTGAAAAAAAAAGAAGTATCAAAATTCTTGGAACACCTCACCTTGCTGTTTCTATCAAATCCTAAATTGTTTCACCATGTTGGCCAGGCTGGTCTCAAACTCCTGACCTCAGGTGATGTGACCACCTTGGCCTCCCAAAGCGGTGGGATTACAGGCCTGAGCCACCATGCCCGGCCATTCTTATTCATTCCTGATCAGTCCCTGCATTGAAAGACCAATTTTAAACCAAACTTCTAATTCTCAATAAAATCCAACCTTGCCTCTCCCCCTCTAAGAGTTGTCAAGACTCTGTCAAAGCAGTGTTCTCCCTCACTGCATAAGCCATAAACTCAGCCCTGTCTTGTCAATTAGTTGGGTTGATACTTCGTAAGTCAACATTAGATAATCAAAAAGACATCCAAACTTGGGAGTCAGAAAATGTGTTTGTATCTGGCTTTACCACCCACTAGCTATGAAATCAAACACTGGATTTTGAACACTGAATGTCCTTGTTTGTATTTTGATGATAGGAATAACTTCCTCCCAGGCTTGAGCCCCGGGGTTTGAGGCTGCAGCAGTGAGCTATGATCGCCCCACTGCACTACAATCTGGGTAACAGAGCAAGCCCTGTCTCAAAAAAAAGAAAAGAAAAAGAAAAGAACTTCCCCACAGGGTCGAAGTTTAGATAAAATGATGTATGTGTATAAAAGTACTTTGTAAGTCTTAACATTGTATACAAATGTTAGTTATTATTAATAGCAAGCAGAATATTCATCAAACTAGCTGTCCACTGAAGCTATCACTAGCCGTGCTAAACTCTGTAACTATCACACACCACATGACCAGATGTAGACTCCTGAGTAACCTGGGGCTCCCTACTCCCTACAAGGAATAGCTTGGTCTGGTCAAATGTCATCATAATATCCCATTTTAACATACAAAATTTTCATTACACTTTTTTCAAAGATAAAAATTAAGATCACTATAATCAATAAGCCTTAATATATTTCCAAAATTTATCTTGTAGCAAGTGAATATAAAAATGGAAAGTTGAATCTATTAATCTCTATTTAAGGCACTGCACATCAATAATTTTTGAAAAAATATTTTGAAATATTTGAGTAAGAAGCTACAAGTTTATAATATGCTATGCATAATTCAAATAGACTTGGGGAAACATTACCACATAACTACTCCTTATGAATCAGGTATCTATGGAAATAACTACATTTTAACATAAAAACAGACCATCATTTACTCATTTATCTGCCTGTTCACAAAGAGAGTCCTTTTTCTTCAGGAATTTTGGCTCCTTGACACATACACTAAAAGGCAATTTTCTTGTGTTTTTTTGGAAACAGTTACTTTCCTGATACTGCAAAATACCCCCAAATCTACCTGGCTTAAGATAAGAACTGATTTCTTCTCAACTATAATAATAATTGGAAAAGCACTCCCAAAAATAAAAGAACACTCCACAGAGGAATGGTGAAGTAACAAAACAAATAGTCAAGAGCCAAAAACAAACCTGTACTCATAGAACCCAGGGAAGGAAAGACAAGATGTTCTTCCAGTAATACTAGAAATGAAGGTTTGATGAAATTTTAAGTGAGTAATAAAGAATGAATAACCAATGTTTGGGGCTGCTAAGACATTTCATTGAATTTTTGTGAATCCTAGATGAACTCTGAAAGACAACTGAAGGCATCTGCCATGAGGCAGTTAAGAGCACCAGCACTGCCTGCATTTATTCCTGTGCCCTGCCAATTACTAACTCTTAACACCTAGACAGCTGGCAATTGGTTGTCGCCCCGTTGCTCCTCCACATCCATGTGCCGTCCTACTCTGTGTCCTGGAGGCTAAACCATAGTGACTGCATCAATGGCTCTTTTGCCCTTTAACTTCCAGTGGGATTCTGCCAATGAAAGGCACCAGCAGGATGCCGGAGGGTAGGAGAGTGAAGCTAGGTATTTATTACACCAGCTCCCTGCAGAGTCTCTGAACCTGGCAACATACCTCTCCCCAAGTCCACAGACCCCATCAGGCAGTCCTCTTTATAGAGCTTTGGATCCAGGAACTGTTCCCCCTCCCTGTCCCCTTAATTGTAGGGGTAGAACTGACTCCTGATGTTGCTAACTCCTTGTTGTTCCTTAAACCTTGCTAACACCCTCATAAATAATCTCTTAAGTAAACTCTCCTCCAAATACCCAATTTGAATGTGTTTCTTGATAGGACATTGCCTAATCAAGTTATCTAACTTCTTTGGGCTTCGGTGTCTGCATCTGTAAAATCAGCCTAGTCAGAGTACTGCTTTTAGGGTTGTTGTAGGTGCCTAACACACAGGAATTACTCAATTCCTACTAACTCCAAGTATATTACATCTCCTGTCATTATTCAAACAGTGTGGATTTTTTATCTAGGCAAAAATGCAATTTATTTTGCCTAATAATACTGTTTTGCAAAATGCCCATGATTCTTCTCTCTTTAAAAATGAGATGAGATTTTTATTGCTATTGATTCCTGTAGTCTTGCTATCTTAGTAGCCCCTTAATGATCATCTTTTATCTCCTGTTTTTGTAGTGAATAAACTAGCCTTTTTAGTTCAAATACAAGATATAAACAGAAAGCAACATGAAATAAAACCAGGTTCAACATTAAATAATCTAACTCTTCAAGAGGATTTGGGGACAAGGAAAGGAGAAAACAGATTAACAATGACTAAACATGTTTCCTGAGGGACACATGTCCACCCATTCGAAAGGTTTTATTGGCAGCGTAAAAGTTCCATCCATGAAAAATAATGATCATTAGCTTTTCCATGACAATTGTGTTTTGCCTACAATATCCATCATGCTCCTAGAGTCCATAGCTTTTTCACAATTCCAGTCCCTTGGTGCAAGACATTAGTGAGTATTGATGCTTTTTAATTGTTCCTCACATAAAGTCCATTGCTACTTGTCACAAAGTCCACATACACTAAAAATCATTATTGAATTTTTGGGAGGTCTGTATGTACGAAGCAATTCTGAACTTGCCCTGCAATTTTAACCAGGTCATACAAGTGAAAGCCTTGGCAATTTGGTTTGATTAACAGGGTCAATTTAAATGAGACCCCAGATTAAATAAGATTTTTTAAAGTGGCAGATCTGCACTAAAATGTCTACCAAAAAAAAAAACCAAGATAACAGAAGGACATATCAAAGAACACATATTTTGCAAGAAAAATCAAATAGCTTTTACTTAAATTATAATTGTCTTTGTAAACTAAAGATCTTCAATTTCAGAAGTCAAAATAGGTATTATTTTTGAAGCCTGAAATAGCTTAAGCCCTAAGAACATTACAATGGACTTCTGTTTCAATAATTCCCAACATTTAAAATAAGCCTAAAATATAGCAGTCTCAGATTCTAGCTATACAGTACAAGAAAAACAATTTTCTGCACTTTCTATATAGAGTATCTACAGCCTTCCAGACAGAGTCTGACTTCTAATACATAGAAACGTAGCTTTTAACATTGTCTATACATCTGAATGGGTATGTATAAATAAATATATGTATTAATTTAGTCATATATCTACACACACATACATGTATACATAAACATACAATGTATTTCACAAATTCTAAAGTGCAAAATTTTTTCATGTTATTATCTCTGAAAATGAGATGTATCATATATATGTAATATATTATATATTATATAATTATAATGTATTATAGTGCTGCATTTTTTCAATTTTAGCAGCAGTATACACTATTAGACATATGCATTGAAAGATGACACCATCTTACAATCAGTGACATCTTGGATTGTATGTGTGTGTAGTCTGTGTATATGTCTTACTCCTATTGACTTCTTCTGTTATTATTTTAGCATTTTCATCTTTTATGTGCTTCCTACGTTAATTTTAAGCTTAGACTCACAGGTGTATAAATCTGGTAAATAAACCCTAGTTACTAAGAGAAAATGAGTAAGACAAATGATGAAACATCTTATCAACACTTACCACACAGAAATTAAAGCTTGAATTTGTTAAGCTGATTATAGTGTAACCAAACTTCAGGAACAAAGTTCCAAGAGAAAACACAGCAGGTGAGGTGCACCATTTCCACAGCAGAAAATAATGACCCATGAAACTAACTGAAGGTTATCAGGCTTAAACTTTATGGATACATTATCACTTACCAGTGATTAAAATGACTTTTCAATGCATGAATGCATGGAACAAAATTTTACATAACATTAAAACACACCAGCAGTGCCTAGTTTCAAATCCATGCTATTAAACCCACAAGTACTAAAGCTAATTTCATCTTTTCTATGCTTAGCCATGGGTAGATTTCAGTACGTCCCAATCAGTCTCATTAATCTTGCTTTCCATTTGCTGCATTTAGCTCTTACAATCTGTCATTTTCTGATTTAACCTTCTCTTTTCTCCCCTTTATTTAGGTCAAATTTGGACTATACTAAAGGTGAAGTTACAGTTTTCAGAATTACTTAATCTTATTACTATTTCCTTGAGTTTTTTCTGTTTTCTTTTTTTTAAGGAATCTTTCACTTAGTAAAAAAAAAAAAAAAAAAAAAAAAAACAGAACAAAAGAAAACTTTAGGCTGGGTGCAGTGGCTCACACCTGTAATCCCAGCACTTTGGGAGGCAAAGGCAGGCGAATCACAAAGTCAAGAGATGGAGACCATCCTGGCCAACAAGGTGAAACCCCATCTCTACTAAAAATACAAAAATTGGCTGGGCGTGGTGGCAGGTGCCTGTAATCCCAGCTACTCGGGAGGCTGAGGCAGGAGAACTGCTTGAACCACAGAGGCAGAGATTGCAGTGAGCCAAGATCACACCACTGCACTCCAGCCTGGTGACAGAGCAAGACTCCATCTCAAAAAAAAAAAAAAAAAAAAAACGCTTTATCCAAAACCTTCAACAGAAATTTGCAGGGTGCCTACTCTGCTAGAGACCAAGGATATGAAGGTGAATGAGACAGTCTCATCCTCGCTCCTCACAATGTGGCCCACTGCACAGGAGCATCAGCCTAACCTGGAAACTGGTTAGAAATGTAGAATCTCAGGCCCCACTCCAAACCTACTAGATTAGGGCTATCCAGAGAAACAGAACCAATAGGTAATTGATATATATCTTTCTTTAACTATATATAGATAGATTTATTATAAGGAACTGGCCTGTAAGATTATGGAGACTGACAAGTCCTATGATCTGCTGGGTGAGTCAGAGAACTAGAGACCCAGGAGAGCCAATGGGCTTGTTCTAGCCAGAAGACCAGCAGGCTCAAGTCCTAGGGAGGGCCATGTTTCAGTTAAAGTCCAAAGCCATGAAGACACGGATGTGCTGTCTTTAGAAGCCCAAACCTCAGCATCACTCAATATACCCATACCTACACATACACCCTCTGCATCTAAAATTTTTAAAAATGAAGAAGCTGATGTTCCAGCTGAAAGGCAGTCAGGCAGGAGGAATTCTTGCTTACTCCAGGGGAAAGTCAGCCTTTTTCTTCTATGAAGGCCTTCAACTGATTGGATGAGTCCCACCCACATTTGGAAGGACAATTTGCTTTATTAAGTCTACTACTGAGCTAAACAATAATCTCATCCAAAAATATCCTCACAGAAACATCTAGAATAATGTCTGACCAAATATCTGGGCACCCTGTGGCCCACTCAAGTTGATACATAAAATTAACCATCACACCTACTAAATTGAAATCTGCATTCCAACAAGATCTCTGGGCCATTTATAGATATACTGAAGTTTAAAAAAACGCAAGATAGTCTACATGCACAAGGAACTCATAGAAATATGAACAAATGACTACAATATAGTGTGGTTCCTGCTACAATCAAACTTGTACAAGATAGAGTGGTAGCTGGCATAGGTAGTGGTAAACAACCCTCAAAAACATATCAGAAAAGACTTCACAGAAGATTTCACAAAAGAGAGGCCCTTGACTAGGTGCTAAAAGTGAACAGGAGTCTCCCATGCACAGCCTCTGCAGCCAGACTGTCTGGACGTGAAGAAATAACTCTGCCACTTTACTAGCTGTGTGACCTGGGGCAATTTAATCTCACTGTGCCTCAATTTTCCCATCTGTAAAATGAAGGAAATAGTAATGCCTAATATATAGGATTATTGTGATGATTACATAAGCTAACATATGTAAAATTAAAACAATGCCTGACATGTAGTAAGCACTATAAACTACTATTATCACCACTGTCTTCTAATCTACCAGAAGCTAGTGCTTGTGATTTGTTTGTTTATATTAAATTTGCTTCTGTCCCACGAACAATGGCATTCCCTTTCATGTAAAAGCTTCTTATGCTATGTGAAAATAAGCACAATGCAAAGGTCTTTAGAAGTACTAAGCTAAATCACAACAAAGTCCTTGAAAAATTTCAAGAAAGGATATTTATTGTGTGCTTACTGCAA